>NC_000006.12:19302424-19453939 GCF_000001405.40 Homo sapiens | reverse complement strand
ATAGCTTAGAGGATCAAAATAATTTTATCTTCAATAGATGAAATGACTAAATGGCTTTCCCCAGGTCAACATCCACAGGGATACATTCTCAGGCATTTTTGGGGGGCACCAAATTTCTTCTTTTTTCCAATCAGAAAATTTCTAATTTGATTTATAAATTATGAATGTAACTTCTCAGTTCTTTAAAATATGAGATATGGAGAAGGGTTGTGTTGGCTACTACTCACTTCAGCAGCTCAGGTAATACAGTGTGTGCATTTCAAGAAATATTAAAACATGTTAAATATTGTATATGCAGTTTTATTCTGGGCTTTTAAGCTTTCTCTCTCTCTCTCTCTCTCTCTCTCTCTCTCTCTCTCTCGGTCACTCTCTCTCTGTCTTTGGCAGCCTGGTCTTGTCCTCAACTAAACTATTTCCTGCCTACTAATTTTGAACAATAACTTAAGTTTGCTTGATAGATTATTTGTCATTGGTATCTCAATTTCTTTACCAAGTACCTTTTTTTGCTGAAGATCTAGTAAATAGTTCGACAGGTTTTGAAAGCGGAAGAAACTTTAAAAAATCATTTTAGTTAAGTGTTGACCTCCACATTTTATGCAGTAGGGGTCTGAAATTTGTGCAATATTTCACATTTACTAAGTGAATTACATATTTTATCTAATCTATAACACCAAAGATTGTAAAATATGCCATCACTTTGTGTACCGATAAGACAGAAAAAAATTACCAACTTAAATTATGCACTCACTTTCATATAATCACTCACATCCAGATTAAAGAGAGATTATAAGCATAAGATCATGCTGTTAATACAAACGTATCTCTCCTTTATGAAATATATAATTTGCACCCTGTATTTCATAAACATAGCAAATATTGCAAAGAGTAAGCACATGTCTTCTCTAAGAGGAAATCAGGATAAACACTTAGATTGACTGGGGAGGCAGGCACAGGAAAGGTGAAATACCAAATCAAGTATACTAAGCTTTAAGACATTTTTTTTTTTTTTTTTTTTTTTTTTTTTTTTTTGGCTAGAGGCTGTCCTGGGATTACTAATAGACTACATAATAAGGCAAGCGTATCCAATATTCTCTTCTAGTTACAGTGCCTTCCCTCTCTGCACATCATGGTTGTTTGTTGCAAGGGATCACCTGAATGATAGTGATTGCTCAAAGTTCCTAAGCTTCATAAGATTGACTCCAGGGCATTGCTGCTGGTGCTGGTAGCTGTTCCCCAGCCTCAGGCCCTTAAACTCCTGCAGGGGGAGTGTGTCTAGAGGCTGCCTCTCTTGTCTGCTCAGACATTTTATCCACTGTCTCCACCAAACCAGAGTCATCTCTGGGGCTTGGAGGAGTGATACTACTAGCTTCCTCACAGGACAGGATCCTTGGCCTAGGAACAGTAGATACTGATTAGAAATAAAGGAGATTGGGAAATCCAAAACCAATTATATAGCTTTTGCTTTGAACCACCTATTAGTGTGTGGCATAGTCTATCAGTGTGAATAAATAAATTGTAATAATTTGGACTTGATCCTTCTTTCGTAAAATGTGTGGTCTGTAGATATCACCTGTGAGGAGAGATGGTATTTGTCATTTAGATTCTACCTGACTGCTAACTTGCTTTGGAAAAGTAGATGATTACTTTGTCCGAAAATGAAGTGTAACACTCCAGTCTCCAACGAAACAAAAAAAGGTAGCATGTGTACTAACAAGTCTCAGAAATCACCCCTGTTTAATTAATATCTTGCTTTTATTACTCAATATTTTGTATTCTATTCAAAATACCACAAAATTAAGATAATAGCTCCGTAAAATTGATTCAGAGATGTTAATTATTTCTTTGCTTGTCTCCAGACTTATTATAATTCATTACTTTCTCCTGATGTGGTTAATGTTGTCATAGTTTGGAGCTGGTATACTGTACCATTAAGAATTTTTATAAGGCACCACTTATATGATTATATCACTTTGATTTTTAAAATGCCTTCATTTATTTCCTGGAAGTTATCAAGCTGACATGAAAAAGCCATCATCTAATAGGAGTGAATTTTCATAATGCTATTTTCATCAAATTTTATCCTCAGATATTGTATTTGGCCCTGTGACAAACATTAGATTTCCTTTCTTGCACTTTTTCTTAATCTAATAAAACATATGTTATGTATACTGACTGTATATTATTGGTTGTAATATACTATGTATATTTTCTTGTTTTTATAAATGTTTTTCAACTAAAATTTTTGTAAATAGAAGCAAGCCTTTCACAGCTATATCTATGGATCCCAAAACAAGAGGAGAAAATTGGTGGTTACCTGTTACACTATGTAGCAATCACTTATAATTTTTATGAAACAAATTCTATTTGGCAATGGAATTTAATCTAACAGGACTATTGCAATATTGTTGGCTTCCTGCTTAACTTTGAGTTGGGTAACCCAAAGGGCTGATTGCTTGTCTGTTGGCTATCAGCTCCAGGCTCATGCATCTGTGTTTCTCTCTTATAAGCAAGCTGAAAGTCTGCGAACTTTATTTTTAACAAGATTCCCTCCTTACCAAGCAGCTTTCTTATACTCTCCTAGCGGGAGGTCCTACCAGGAAATTGGACGGTGGGAATAAGCTTGAGAGCATTTTATAAAAAAGAACGAGATCATGTCTTTTGCAGGGACATGGAAGGAGCTGGAGGCCATTATCCTCAGCAAGCCAACACAGGAACCGCAAGTTCTCACTTATAAGTGAGAGCTAAATGATGAGAACACATGGACACATAGAGGGGAACAACACACACTGGGGCCTCTCAGGGTGGTGGGTGGGAGGAGGGAGAAGGTCAGGAAAAATAACGAATGGGTATTAGGCTTAATAACTGGGTGATGAAATCATCTGTACAACAGACCCTCATGATACAGGTTTACCTGTGTAACAAACCTGCACATTCTGCACATATACCCCTGATCTTAAAATAAAGTTTTTTTTGTTGTTTTTTTTTTAAGGATTGTGGGCATTTTTTCCTCTCTTGGCTTCAGGCAGTGTATAGGCAGAGTAGCAGAAGAAGCAGGTTACTTCTATGGTCTTGCCAAGTAGTGGCAATGGTGGCTCTGACAGCAGCCGGAGATTATCCAGCAGCTTTAATGGCAGAGATTATGGGCTCTTGAATAGTATTTTCCCTTTCAGTCTTGTCACTGACAGGATAGAAGTATCATCTTGCAGTTACTGATCAAACCCTCTCCTTTTTGCTCTTTTAGATCCTCCAATATTAAGTAACCAATTTTCTACATTGTTACCTGCATTAGAAATTCCTCAAGTTGTTTCAATCTTCCTGGCTGAGCTCTGACTGATGGATCTAGTAAAACCATATAGAACCTTTGCACACAGCAGGGGAAAGCCCAAATAAGGAACCATGGGAACTTGATACTATTTGTTCATCTAGGTCTCAATTAATGAGCAAGATTATTAAATGTCTACAGGCAACATGTTACACAAAGTTGTAATAATAATAAAGAATAGAAAGATTGTATATTTTGGCTAAGTAGGTTGCCAGTTTACTTATTTATTCATTAATTTAATTTTATTTTTTTGAGACAGGGTGTTACTCTGTAACCCAGGCTGGAGTGCAGTGGTGTAATCATGGCTCACTGCAGCCTCAACCTCCTGGGCTCAGATGATCCTCCCACCTCAGCCTCCTGGGTAGCTGGGACTACAGACATGCACCACCATGCCTGGGTATTTTTTGGTATTTTTTGTAGAGATGAGGTTTCACCATGTTCCCCAGGCTGGTTTCAAATTCTTGAGCTTAAGCCACCTGCCTACCTGGGCCTCCCAAAATGCTAGGATTATAGGCATCAGCCAGTGTGCCCAGTGAGGCTGCCAATTTACAATTCAGGGAGAATCTTCCTTGGATTCTAAATATTAAATAATCAGCTGTCTTTACTCAGTTCACACCAATTTGATCATAAGAACAAGCACCTCTCATACCCTCACATTTCCCCCATTAACACAGAACTCTCAGCTACTGCCCAATACTCACCATTTTCCACTGTCTTATTCCATCAGATCCATTAATGATCATGAAAAGCACAGCTGCAGTGTTGCCATGAAGCCACTTCCTACCTCCTCTAGCTTCCAATATTTACTAATTCTGGAAAGAGTCCTTTCTGGTCATTTCTACTTGTTAGAACCCCCAATAGATAAGGCGCTTTTGCCCCAGTCTGTCACAGAAATTTTAGTGTCATGTCTAACTCAAGTTTTGCTCTTTATTACAACCCTCTCTCCCTAAGCAGAGGGTGGGGTTATGCAAATAATAGGCACAGCACATACTCAAAAAACCCTTTCCCCTTTGGCTGTTCACTTAAGCATCTCAACATGTTCTCCCTCAATATGTTCTCTTTATCAAGGAGCATTCTTAGTTTGAACCCTCTCCCCGCCACGTCTCCAGGACCCCAAAAGATGTCAATATCCTATGGTAAGTTCAACTTAGGCTGAAGCTGGTGTCCTAGCTACATACTGATCGCCCAATTCACTGACTATTTCAAGTGTCACTGTTATTGTCTGTGTTTATGTTGGACTCTATTGTCTGAAGTTTGGACAAATGAATTTTTCTGTGCCTAAACTTCCTGACATGTTTAAAAAGAACAAAAACGGGAGTGGTGAGGCATGTATGTGGCATGGTGACACTTCACTCCTGACAGTGGTTGACCCCAAAGTACTTTTTGTAAATACTTGTTATTTAAATGCCGAATAAGTGATAATAAAGTTTATTTTATTATTTTGCTTCAATAACACAGTCTCAAAGCTCTGTGATCCCATTTTCTAGTTCATTTTTTCTCAGTCACCTAATACCATAGTTGCATGGGATTCAAGCCCCTTAGTGTTAATTTAGGGACTTAATTACTTTTGGGAAGCTTGCTGGCTTCTAGCTCTTTTAATTTTCAAACCAAGTTTAAAGAGAGTCATTGAAAGTCACTTCAAGTAATGTTTTAAGGCAAAACACCCTAAGCTTTTTTTTTTTTTAAAGTACATGGTGCTAAGTAAAGTTTAACTCTTAAAAGATTAACTATGGTGTAATGAATGTGTACTGTCCATGGACAGCTTCCTGGTCTCACCTGGGCTAATTATTTGCGAATTATTCTCTGCTTTCAACTAAAGTGTGCACGCACACACACACAAATGACTTGTGCATTTGTGTGTGTGTGTGTGTGTGTGTGTGTGTGTGTGTGACCTATTTCTCATGCCATTCGCTTTGTGTGTGCCACTAGGGACCTTTGAGGGATCACATCACAGGGAGCCGAGGATATGGCAGAGTAGCTTCTTTTTCAACCATTTTATTGTTGCTCTTGAGCCTGTAACTGTAGCCTATATATAGCACAAGGCTTTAGGGCAAGGCTCCCTGCATTACCTTTCTCTGTTATTATAAGCTCATCTCAGAGTTAATAATTTCCTCCAAGGAGGTGATGCTGTAATAAAGATAATTAAATTGAAATTTAATATAGTGGGGCATTGTACTATAGCTTTATATCAGATGAGGGTTCTGAGAGAAACCATTGCTGTGAGGGTGGAGTGTAAGGTATGTAATTAACAATTATGTTTGTCAGGTTTATGAAACAGAAAATTAATAACATGGAGACTGTAAAACAGTGAACAAAGCTGCAAATTCTAAATTAAGGTGACTAGGCCATCATTTACCCCTAGAGCAATAGGTGTCTTTTTTTTTTTTTTTTTTTCAGAAATAGAATGCAGGATCATGTTGATTTACTCACTTAAAAAAAAAAAAAAACTTGTTGCACTCCCAGACAGAATATTTTCTCTGTAGCACAGTGATTCTCAATCTTGGCTTTGCAGTAGAATTACTTAGAAAGCTTTTTAAAATTCAGGTGCTTTCTTAAATATGCTGTTGGCCACATACATGTTTCTTTTGAAAAATGTCTGTTCATGTCTCCTGCCCACTTTTTAATAATTTTTTTTTGCTTGTAAATTTAAGTTCCTTCTGGACACTAAACCTTTGTTGGATGCATAGTTTGCAAATATTTTCTCCTGTGTTTAGGTTGTCTGTTTACTCTTTGCTGTGCAGAAGCTCTATAATTTAGTTAGATCCCATTTGTCAATTTTTGTTGCAATTGCTTTGGCATCTTCATCATAAAATCTTTGCCAGGTCTTATGTCCAGAATGGTTGTCTTTCAGGGTTTTTTTAATATAGTTTTTAGATTTTACATTTAAGTCTTTAATCCATCTTGAGTTGATTTCTGTATATGGTGTAAGAAAGAAATCCAGTTTCAGTCTTCTGCGTATGGCTAGCCAGTTATCCCAGAACCATTTTTTGAATAGGGAGTCTTTCCTCATTGTTTATTTTTGTTAATTTTGTTGAAGATCAGATGGCTGTAGGTGTATGGCTTTGTTTCTGGACTCTCTATTCTATTTTATTGGTCTATGAGTCTGTTTTTGTACCAGTACCATGCTGTTTTGGTGACTGTAGTCTTGTAGTATAGTTCGATGTGGGATAATGTGATGCCTCCAGCTCTGTTCTTTTTGCTTAGGATTGGCTTGGCTTTTGGGCTCTTTTTTTTTTTGTTCCATTGGAATTTTAAAATAGTTTTTTTCTAATTATCTGGAGGATGTCATTGATAGTTTATAGAAATAGCATTGAATTTGTAAACTGCTTTGGGCAGTATGGCCACTTTAATAATATTGATTCTTCCTATCTGTGAGCATGGAATATTTTTGCATTTGTTTGTGCCATTTCTGATTCCTTTGAGCAGTATTTTATAATTCTTGTCGTAGAGGTCTTTCACCTCCTTGGATAGCTATATTCCTAGGTATTTTATTCTTTTTGTGGTTATTGTGAGTGGGATTGCATTATTGATTTGGCTGTCAGCTTGGACGTTGGTGTATAGGAATGCTAGTGATTTTCGTACCTGGATTTTATATCCTAAAACTTTGCTGAAGTTGTTTATCGGATCAGGGAGCTGAGACTATGGGGCTTTCTAGGCATAGAATCATATTGTTCGCAAACAGGGATAGTTTGACTTTCTCTTTTCCTATTTGGATGCCCTTATTTCTTTCTCTTTCCTGAATGCTCTGGTTAGTATTTCCAGTACTGTGTTGGATAGGAGTGGCAGGAGTGGGCATCCTTGCCTCAAGCTGGTTTTCAGGGTAAATGCTTCCAGCTTTTTTCCATTCAATATGAGGTTGGCTGTGGGTTTGTCATAGATGACTCATTATTTTGAAGTATGTTCCTTCATGCCTAGTTTGTTGAGAATGCTCAAGATCACTAATTATTAGAGAAATACAAATAATTTCATATCAGTCAGAATGGCGATTATTAAAATAACAGATGCTGGCGAGGTTGTAGAGAAAAAGGAATGCTTATACACTGCTGGTGGTAATGTAAAGTTCAGCTGTCGTAGAAAGCAGTTTGTTGATTTCTCAAAGAACTTAAAACAGAATTACTATTGGACCCAGGAATCCCATTGTTGAGTATATACCTAAAAGAATGTAAATCATTCTACCACAAAAAGACACATGCACACATATGTTCATTGCAGCACTGTTCGCAATAGCAAAGACATGGAATCAACCTAAATGCCCATCAATGGTAGACTGGATTTTAAAAAGATGGTACATATATACCATGGAATACTATGCAGCCATAAAAAAGAATGAGATCATGTCCTTGGCAGCAACATGGATGGAGCTGGAGGCCATTATCCTAAGCAAACTAATACAGGAACGGAAAACCAAATACTGCATGTTCTCACTTATAAGTGGGAGCTAAAATTTGAGTACACATAGACACAAAGAAGGGAACTACATCCACTGGGGCCTACTTGAGGGTGGAACATGGGAGGAGGGTAAGGATCGAAAAACTACCTGCCATCTTTAATTCCTTTGAATAGTGTTTTGTAAATATCCTTGTAGAGGCCTTTCACCTCCTTGGTTATTGGGGATTATGCTTATTACCAGGGGGTGACAAAATAAAATCTGTACACCAAACCCCTGTGACATGCAATTTCCCTGTATTTCAAATTTGCACTTGGACCCCTGAACCTAAAATAAAAGTTAAAGAAAAGGTCCTTGGTGATATAAAAAAATCCAGATGCCCAGGTCCATCCCAGACCAATCAAAGTAAAACTTCCAGGAGTAGGACCCAACTACCAGTATATTAACAAGCTCTCTAGGTGATCCCAATGTGTAGCCAAAGTGGGAGATCCTGTTAGTAAATGTTTAGTGTGATTGATTTCCCTGGCGGAGAGTGTTAGGTTAGAAGAAAAGGAAAAAGAAAAAAAAAAAAAAAAAACAGGAAAGAATAACTGCATAATAATTAATTATTCATAGACTGTACTTATCCTGACAAATAAAAATTTACAGAATTTGTCCATGAACAGGAGGTATTATTAAGACAGTATTGCCATTTCTGATATTTAGACATCCATGTTTCCAGGGAAAACAGAGAAATCTTGGCCCCTTCCTATACTCCGCCCTCTGGGCTACCAAAACCCATGAATGTTTGAAGGTTTCTGAATGAGGCCACAGAATTTCCCAAATTATTATGGGCAAGTGCTGGTTCTGTCTTTGCCAATCTGGGCTCTTATACGCTCCATGGCAGAATGAGAGGGAAACATGGCCAGAGTGATGATCACACAACCAGGAAGCAGAAGAAAGTGTGTTTGGCAAATCCCCATTCTAACCATGCCTTCTGCATAAAGGCAGGGTCTGGGATCTCTGCAGAAGCTGGTATATGTATGTGTGTCACATCACACGTGCACAGACACACACACACACACACAATCTCAGAACATACCTGCATAGAGAGCGTTCCTGTATTGGTCTTTTTGAGTTTAATAGGTCACCAAACTAGAGTGGATTGGAGGTAAGTTTACTATTTATTGATTTGCATAATTTATCTTTTGTGAAATATGTATTTGGAAGCTATTGTCCTGGTAATTCTGATGTGCTTTTATTGAGAACCTTTGAATTTGACATCTCCTGGTGACTCTGATATGCTTTTTTGAGAACTTTGAATTTGACAATGATAAACCATTGAAGTATGTTCTCAAAGACTACTCATGAAGCCATTGAATTTTGCCTGTTCTGTGGAATTTGAGCGTATCCTGTGCTTAAGAAAATGGGAGAAAACAAAGAGTTGTGTGGCAGCCAGCCTATATCCTGGGATTTATATGCTGGAAATTTTTTTTCCTGTTTCAATTTTGACATAAACTATTAGAGTTAAAAACTAACTAGATAAACATTCTCTTGCTTCATCATACTTAGAGGAAATGAGATATTTATTTTTAACCACAATCAGTGAGATTATAATGGTTTGTTTTTGCACTTGGTCATATACAATGTAACCACAAGACTTTGGCAACATTTATTCTCATTTAGATCAGTTTTTCCCACTGTATATTTTTCTACAAAGATTATTCAGATTTTTCTGTCACTAAATCAAAAGCATGAGGAAAAGTAATTATGCATGTGACTAAGAACAAAAGACTAAGCCTATTAAAATATTAAAGCCTTGAAATTTAAATTGAGTTAATCACATTTATCAATACAACTTATTTTTAATTTACTTTCTCTTTTATTAAATACTACCGCTTAAATTGCTAGACCATGGCTGTATCTATGTAACCAAATAACTAGAACATAGCCTTGTAGTCGTGGCTCTTTCTGCTGTTTTCCACGGTACCTGTGATGTCTACCCAGACATGACAAGTAGCTGTCTAAATATATCAGGTTTGTAATGCTTGATTTGTTGCCTGTGAATTGTCCTGGTCTCATAGAATTGTACCTCAAATCTTATACTTTACAAATGACCTTAAATTTTCTACTACCAAACTATTTAGGTGTTTAGATAACTTAAGGAACGGGGACCATTTTAACAAGTAATTTACATATATTAATGATTATTTTGAAAACACTAAAAATTGGAAGTACTAGTGATCTAATTTTTATCTCATGAAAAACGTATATTTTTAATGCCAATCCTAACATGTTAACCAAGGTCAAAGTAAAATTTCTTTGAAAAAAATCTCAGGATAAAGCAAAATCTATGCAAGAGATGTGATTTATTTCAGAAACATTTTTAAAGTTCTTTATCATTCAGTGATTTCACCAAGATCACAGTTTTTATGACAGTAAGATAAAAATTTTTTTTCAAGAGAATTTTTTAACATTAACATGTATTTACCTGTAAAGCAAAAACTAATATTTAGTTCTTTGAGTTGTATATCTGATGTTGACCAAGCTCTGTTTTTCTCTTTTTACAATTGCCTCATGCTTGGGACAGGCAGGTGAGAAATCTCAGGAATAAGTAACTAAAGCTTCGCTGGTTGAGATTGTGGTCAGTTGGCGTAAGTGTGAGGTGTAATTGCTGGAAAGGAGTTGACCTGTCCTGCACAAAAAAAGGTCCTGGTCTGCGGGCTGCACAGGAAACCCTTCCTTTCCCATTAACACTGGCTGGAAGCACATCTCTTCTACAGAGACTCTGTCAGGTGGCTTCTAGACCCTCAGAGTCCCAGGTTTGTCTGTGGACAGAAAAGGGTGTTCTAAGGCTAGACATTGGTCCATTTGGTTAGGAAGTCAAGAAGCTAGAGTATATAGATGGAGCCCTGGGCTGGTCTGGTTAAGCACATGCAGGTTCTTCCTTGTATTCTTGGACCCTCCAATGGAACACTTTACAGGCCCACCAGAAAAGCCCCACTGTAAAGAAGATCATGAGCAACATCCATCATTCCAGTCTACCATGACAGCTGAGCATAGCCAAGGAGATGATTAAGCACCTGGACATATGTATTCATACCAGCTGCAGTGTCTGTGGTAGCCCACTATTAACCAGGGTACAAGGCCTCCTAGATTTCATGTACAAAGTGCACAGACAGAGTACGTGGCACTCAGCCCAAAGGAATCCTGTAGGTAGAGGGTGGGAAATCAGGGATGAGAGGAGGGGAGCTACAGTGAATGTATTGCTACACAGCCCCTGAATCCTTACCTTTACATAAATTATATACTTGATGTTCATTTGCTGGATCTGCTCTTTAGCAGCATACGAGCTAGCTGCCAGGTGGCTGTCCTAGCAAATGTATGCATGCTTTGCAGATTGAAACTTCATCATTATTTCTGGAACATTTAATATGAAAAAAAATTCACTTGGGCTTAAAGTCCAAATACATTATCTTAGGAAAATTTCAATAATGTAGCTGATAAATAAGAAAAGGAAGAATTATTAGATTAAAAAAATCAATTATTGTAAATGACTGAATGGTTTCAGAAATGTTTAAAATATACACTATTTACTTACATGGAAATATTTCAGAGAGCAAATACTGAAAATCTGAGGAAATCATCATTGTGACACCTTGGCTAGGAATCATGTAGAACCATTTCAACCTTAAAACCTAGTATTATAAAAGCAGGCTCAAATTTCTCTTTAAGTGTTTGAAGTTTCATTTTAGAAATAATCTATATCTTTCCTAATATGTTGCATTTTCTTTTTCTTACCAAAATTTTACAATGTCAGTAAAATAAAATAATATTTTATACCAAATTCCAAATAACTGTTTTCACACTCCTTGCGGTTTGCCACAGTGTTATCACAAATAAACACTCACTATATGTTTCATTAAAAAGAGGTTGGCGGCCAGGCGTGGTGGCTCACGCCTGTAATCCCAGCACTTTGGGAGGCCGAGTCGGGGGGGATCATCAGAGGTCAGGAGTTTGAGACCAGCCTAGCCAACGTGGTGAAACCCCGTCTCTACAAAAAATACAAAAATTAGCCAGGCTTGGTGACGCACGCCTGTAATCCCAGCTACTAGGGGGTGCTGAGGTGGGGGAATTGCTTGAACCAGGAGGTGGAGGTTGCAGTGAGCTGAGATCGCACCACTGCACTCCAGCGTGGGTGACAGAGTGGGACTCCATCTTAAAAAAAAAAAAGGTTGGCAAGAACTTGTCTATAAAATTTTAAATATCTGTCTATATGCTTGAAGGACGCACTTAAATATCTATCTCTGTACCTATCTATCTAAGTGGCAGGAGTAAAATCATCTCTCTTCTGCATAGAATCCTTCCTCTCTTCCTTTATCCATTCACAATACTGCATGAGTATGCATTTTCCTTACAAAGGGTAGTGCAGCAGAGAATATCCATTATGAGCAAAGATATATTAATGCTATTCTGATGAAATATTTTCCCACAAGCTCATATGTTGCACCTACCAAACCCATAGATGAGGAAGCTCATCAAGTATAGCTTTTAGGCAAATAGAATACTAAAAGCAATTTAAAGACAACGCCAGCATTTTGGGTTAATTTCTACATTTTAATTTCATAATGTCATAGAAGAGCCAGAACAAAAGGAAATGGGGAATATGCAAGATGATTAACTCCTTGCATTCCAAAATTAAAAAAAAATCCAAAGTATCCCAAAAAGTGTATGTAAGTACATGTATGTAGTCAGTCACTCATTGCCTTCTTTTATTCGCTAATTTACTTATCTAAGTACATTTCACTAAAGTCATCTATCACTTGGGCAATTAGCACCTGTTATTTTAGATCTGAGACACTTGGATACCTGCTAGTTCCCATGGCACTATGACGTGATTTTGAGGTTGTAAATGCCTCACAATTAACAAAGCCTTTTTTATTATTTTGAACTCTCTCCCTCATTGCCTTTGTTTTCTATAGAAGCCGAAATGACAAGGTTTTTCAAATGTATTTTCCTATTTTCTGCAATATGCATTTTTAAATCACTCTGACAGTTTTATTCCATAGCACACCAGCAATTGCTAAGCTCTTAGGAACCACTCTATCCCAACAAAATCACTCAGGGAAGAGAGGTTTAAGGAGACAAATTTCAGCTTCATGCTTCAGAGGGGTTGTAATAAATCATGATATGGGAGGAAGAAAACAAATATAAAAATGATGAAATGTACCTTGATAAGAGTGTGTTTTTAATCACTATTTTCATAGACAGGTGCAATTCTCAAAACCTTTCCTCTGTGGGGCTGTACTTTATGGAGTTTGTGTGCCATATTTTCAGTACAATCAACACCCACTCCCTGTTCTACTTATGACCATGCCTATAAGCCTTTGCAAGGGGTAGAATTCCAGGTCTGGGCTGTTTCAGGGGACACTTCATCTTTCCACTATGGGGCTTCTCCCGATCTTCCTGCCTTCTGAAGGTTTTGTTTGTAAGTACATGTCAGCCTTAAAGTAATGGGCCAGCTTCCTGAATTGCTTAGAGCTAGCTACAATTTACCAGCCTCTGAAGTGGCATTAAAGCAATGTTCATTTCTTAATGAGTATTAAATTTACTTTTAGCCAAACCCTCTAGCTGACAATGAAGTGTTCGCTGGGCTTGCTATTGGCTCTCTCTTTGGTAATTACTCTACTGCCGGTGATTACTCTATCTTTCTTTTTGGATGCAGAAGCTTAAAATGTTTGAGTCTTATACTTAATTTTAAAAGTAGGAACAGCAGTTAAAACTCTCCAGATTTCAAGCCTCTGACTAGGGCCTCTCCTCAATTATGAAACAAATCCATATGGTGTAGTGGAAAGAACATGGACTGTGGTAGAAAATCTAAGTTTAACTCCTGAGCCTGCCCCTTCTATCAGGGCTTGGTAAACTACTGCCTGTGCACCAAATCCAGCTCACCACCTCTTTTGGTGCAACCTGTGAAATAAGAATGTGTTTTACATTTTTAAATGATCCGGGAAAAAATCAATTGAATAATAATATTTCATGACAGGAAAATTATAGAAAATTCAAAATTCAACCCACAATTAAAGTTTCACTGGAATACAGCCACAGTCATTTATTTATGTATGGGCTATGGTTGTTCACATGCTACAACAGCAGAGGTGAGTAGTTGTAACAACTGTATGGTGCAAGAAAGCCTAAAATATTTACTATCTGGTCCTTTACAGAAAAAGTTTGCCAATGGACTGCTATAAATAGTTGATTGATCATAGGAGCATTAATTTACTCTCAAAGCCTCAATGGCTTTGTCTGTAGAAAGGGATCAATAACATAGTTACATCACAGAACTATTGTGAATAACAAATGAGGTTGTTAATCTCAGCACTTAGAAATCTCATTGTTAAAAAAGTCAGAATGGAATTACTGGTTATTGGATGTCTTGCTCTAGTAATTATTCTTATCCTTCTACCAACTCAACTGAGTTTATTTTTAAATAGATGATTTATGATCTGTTTAATAAATTTATTTATATTAGATATGATTTAGAAATTAGCATTTAAAATAATTTATGCAAATACTTATTGGATGTCTATTACAAGTCAAGTACTCACCTTTGAGGAGAGATTATATAAAAATGAAATTCCTCCATTCTCTCAAAATGTCTTTGGAAAAAACTCCTCAAAGGCATATCGACATGTATAATTTTTCCACTTGATCGATCTGTGTGATCTTTTTAATTGTTCCCAGATCACCAAATGGAAACAAAGTAAATCTACATTCTTCAAATGCCTTTGAGCTCTATCAACAACTGCATATAAAATAAAAAGAAAAATTGGGGTATTTATCCCATTCATCCAGCATAAATTGTGTTCATCTTTATTACAAACTTTTACAGTTTAGGAAGTTCTTTAAGTTTTCCACCTCGAATTTTACCCCCAAACTGATTTATGGATAAAAATCCAATAAAGATTTCTCTTCTAAAAGGGTGAAGGCATTTGCCATGCTGCTAATGAAGGAAGAAATAGAGGAAATCCATTTGGTTATTTCCTGATTCTTGTCCAAAAGCAATTGCCTCCTGCTGTGGTCTGTTCTTAGTGTTCAAGTAGCGCTGGTTCAGGTCCAAACCTTCAGTCTATTTTGATCTAGGAGCGCTAACTTCTTTGATGTGTATCAGTGACTTCTAAAGTGCCATGCCAGGTTTAATCAAAGGTACATAGCTTCAGCAAAAATAAATGACGAGAAATGATCACAGTGCCACACGCAGGGTTTTTAAGCAGCCTCCAGACTTTGCTGTGCTGGGGCCCCTCCTCAGAGGACAAATGCAGGAACCCCAGAGGGTCTCTCTCAGATAAAATAATTGCAGAAAAACAGAACAAAGGAAGCAGGGCAATATTCTCAAGCCCTCCGATTTCACCATGCAACCAATATTCCTCTGGCTGCTGTGGCTGAGGCCCAGCGCAGCTCTGCATGCTACTATCATGAGTGTAGGTGGCAGGAGTGGATGCTGAGCAGCCACTAGGACCTCAGGGCCTCCAGCGTGAGTGTGCTGGACAAGAACATTAGAGCTGGCATTATAGAGCCTATCTTAACTGGAGCCAAGCAGTTGGTCACTTAGTGGCCTTTTTACTCATATACAAGGATATATCCAAACACAGGTTGATTCTAGATCAACCATAACACAACTAATGAGCAAAAAGGCCTTTTCAGCTTTCTGCCAATTCTTTCACTACAGTACAGTGTTTTACAAGCATTCATCTCCCACCTCTAAAAATGTTTTTAGATGTACATACACATGTTCACGTATTATTGTCAATTCAAAAAAATATATACTATAATAATCTATTGAACTTTAAATTCTTACAAGATTGATGTCTAATGCTTTCTCCCATACCAAGTACTAACCAGGCCCAACCCTGCTTAGCTTCTGAGATCAGAGAAGATCGGGGGCATTCAGGGTGGTATGGCCGTAGACTCTAATGCTTTCTTTCCATTCCCCAATGTACTATTTTAGGTGGTTTCAGAGGTCTGCATACCATATTTGTTGCTATATTATCTAGACAACTTAGAAGCCAGGGTTATTTTCTGAAAAGTCCACTTAAAATTTTAAAATCCAAAGTCACAAGATTATTCATTCTTTAGGATAGCCTGTGATTGAATAAAATTTTCTTTGACTGGTCTACCAGATTTTGTCTTGTTAATCACTCTTGTAAAACTCTCTTTTCTCTGCCCGAGTCAATCTCCTCCCCTGCCACTCCTCTCATGATCTCATCCTATCACATGGCTTTAAATATCATAAATATTCTAACAACTATCTCTAGACTGGACTACTCCCTTCACTTGTAGATTCACATATCCCATTTAACTCAATGTCTAAAGCTAAATTCCTTGTCTCTCCCAACGAAGCTGTTCCTCTATTAGTCTTCCTCAACTTAGTACAGACTGTCTCTAACTTACATATTTGATTTACAATTTTTTTTACTTTACAATGGTGTGAAAGTGATACATCGTAGAAATCATACTTTGAATTTGGAATTGTAATATTTTCCCATATCACCAAGGCTAGTGATGTGTGGTATGACACCCTCGCGATGCTGGGCAGTGACAGCTCCTCATACGGTCACGAGGGTAAACACTCGACATTCTACAGTGGACTCTGGTGACAGGTGATTTTGCCCAACTGTGGGCTAATGTAAATCTCTGAGCACGTTTATGGGAGGCTAGGCTAAGCTATGATGCTTGGTGGGTTAGGTGTATTAAATGCATTTTTTACTTAGGATATTTTCAACTTAGTATGGGTTTATTAGGATTTAACCCTATCCTAAACTGAGGAGCATCTGTAAATGCAACTACATCCTAACACATGCTCAGACTAAAGGTGGGCTCACCTTTAACGTTTCACTTTTTCTCACACCCTACGTCGGCAAATCTTGTCTGAATCTTCCAGAGACATGCAAACTCTTTATATCACTGTTACTCTTTTTTTTTTGTTTTTTGAGACGGAGTCTCGTTTTCTCGCCCAGGCTGGAGTGCAGTGGTGCGATCTTGGCTCACTGCAAGCTCCGCCTCCCAGGTTCATGCCATTCTCCTGCCTCAGCCTCCCAAGTAGCTGGGACTGACTACAGGCGCCCGCCACCACCCTCGGCTAATTTTTTGTATTTTTAGTAGAGAAGGGGTTTCACTGTGTTAGCCAGAATGGTCTCGATCTCCTGACCTCGTGATCTGCACGCCTTGGCCTCCCAAAGTGCTGGGATTACAGGTGTCAGCCACTGCGCCTGGCCCACTGTTACTCTTAATTCTCTAGTCTAAGCCACCATCTCTCACACAAGGATGATTGCAATAATCTCCTACTGATCCTCTTTATCCCTCTGTAGCTTTTCTCAACACAAATTCCAGAATAGACTGTTTAAAACGTAAACTAGATCAGGTCAGTTCTTTACTCAACATTCTCCATTGGCCTCTCATCTCATGCAGAGAAAAGGAAGAGTCTCACTCGCTATACCTTTTGGAGTCTTGCCTTTGTACTCTCCATTATATCTGCTTGTAGCCTTCTGCTTTTTCCAGAATTCACTGGTCACACTCCTACCTCAGGACCTTTGCACTTACTCTTCTTTCTGTAAGATGTTCAGTCTTCTTACTTCTTCACGTCTTTTCTGTCTTAGCTCAAATGTCTTAGTCTCATTGAGTCCTTCCTTTACTACCTTATTTCAATGGCAAATCATCCTGCTCATCTCACGTCCTTTTCCTGATTTCTTTTCCTCCATAGGACTTATCATTGTTCACAAACTGAATATTTTACTTCTTTATTTTCTGTTTCCTTTACCTAGAATGTAAGCTCCATGAGAGCAAAGATCTTTGTTTCATTCACTACTGTATTCCTGACACAAGAGACAGCCTAGAACATAACAGCTCCTCCAAAAATATATCTGAATGAATGAATGGATAGATTTGCATAAACCACAAATGAAAAGGATATACACCAAGATGTAGTTATCTCCACTGTCAGCAAATTAATGGTGATCTTAATCTTTTAAATATAACCTCCCATAGTCCTTTATCATCAGCAAAAGAGAAATGTCTTATTAAATGCATACAAATGTTTAAAGAAAAAGCAGGTATAAAAAACCTAAAAAGCAGGAAACAAAATTTTGTATGTATTTGGATGAATATATTATAAATATGTACAAATATATACCTATAAAGAAATAAAATCAAAAGGAAATAGATCAAAATGCTAATAGAGATTGTTTTTAAATGCCAAAATTATGGGTCATTTTTTACCTGGTTTATTTCCTTTTATTGATGAGCATGCATTTCTTTATAATAAAAATAAACCAACCTTTAAAATGAAATATACTAGAATATGCTTTCTGCATGACCATATAGTAGATAAATGAAATAAAAAATCAATAATCTTCACTATCAATTACTCGTAAGTAGTCCTAATTATGACGTTACCACTCTGTTAATTTTTGTTAGTTCGTTAGTTTGAGACAGGGTCCCGCTCTGTCACCCAGGCTGGAGTGGAATGGCACAATCTTGGCTCAATGTAACCTCCACCCCCCCGGGGTCAAACTATCTTCCCACCTCAGCCTCTCAAGTAGCTGAGACTGCCCACATGCACCACCACTCCTGGCTAATTTTTGTATTTTTTGTAGAGATGAGGTTTGCCATGTTGCCCAGGCTGGTCTTGAACTCTTGAACTCAAGCGATTCACCCACCTTGGGCTCCCAAATTGCTGGAATTACAGGCGTGAGCCACCGTGCCAACCTTAATTATTTAAAATAATTTATTAATTCCTTTAGCTTACAGTTTTCCTAGTGAAAAATAAACTTTGACTCAAAAATGTGACTTCATGTTTTTGCCTTAAACTTGTTTCCAAACACTGGGGTTATTACCATCACAATATAAAGCATTTTTGAGTTTATGTGTGTAGTTTTTTTATTTTTATTTTTATTTTAAGTTCCAGGTAAGTGTGGTACATATACACCATGGAATACTATCCAGCCATAAAAAGGAATGAGATCATGTCCTTTGCAGGGACATGGATGGAGCTGGAAGCCATTATCCTCAGCAACCTAATGCAGGAACCGAAAACCAAACACCACATGTTCTCATGGTGGGAGGTGAACAATGAGAACACATGGACACAAGGAGGGGAACAACACACACTGTTTATTTATTTAGTTAGTTAGTCATTTTTGAGATGGAGTCTCGCTCTGTTGCCCAGGCTAGAGTCCAATGGCACGATCTTGGCTCACTGCAACCTCCACCTCCCAGGTTCAAGTGATTCTCTTGCCTCAGCCTCCTGAGTAGCTGGGATTACAAGTGCCTGCCACCATGCCTGGCTAATTTTTGTATTTTTAATAGAGATGGGGCTTCACCATGTTGGTCAGGCTGGTCTTGAACTCCTGACCTCGTGATCTGCCCGCCTTGGCCTCCCAAAGTGCTGGGATTACATGTGTGAGCCACCGCACCTAGCCACACTGTTTAGTTTTTAAAGGTTAGTTTTTCTGTCAAGAATGTTTCACTAATGTGTATTACTAAATAGTTTAGTTTTTCAGCTTAATGTGGTAGGGTCACTATGTTTTTCAAACTTAAAATTGATTAAGATGCAAAAATGACCTGATAACCTTCTAGTGAAAAACTCTTTTGATTAGTAGTATATTTTTAAAATATTCTGTGACATTTTAATAAAATACACTTAAATGTTAACCCTTTAACAGATTCTTCTGTTGCCAACAAGACATTTGCTAAAATGAAGGTATCTCCTTTCACCTTCGGCATTGAGAGCAATTAATCCATGCAACAACAATCAAGGCTTTTTCTGCTTGGCTTCTTGCTTGGATTTCATGCTAGATATTGCCTTTTGAAGAATAAGTTTGGATGAGTATTTTGCAGAACCTGTTTCACTATCGTGAAGGAGAGTCAGTTAAGCCTTCTTCAATGTGTGACAGCAAACAAAAGGCCTCTCTCTTCCTGGTTCTAGGGGAAGGGCTTACCTCCTTGACCTGCTTTCTTGGCATGGGCTTTGTCTTCCAAACCCAAGCCCAGACACACAAGTACATACTCACAATAGATGTTGCTCAGAATCAGTCCCAAATCACAGCTTGCTAATGAGAATGCAGTTGCCTCAAGGGAGTGGATTCACCCATCCCCTCCCTGCCACCATTGTAGCCCGCTTTGTGAGGGGAGGAGAGATGCGCTTCTGAGGCCTCAGCGCCTCCATGGCTTTTCTGCAAGTTCCTCAACTACTGGTGCTTTCAAAGTGTCAATTACACCAAAGCCAATTATTAATGTTTACCATGAAATCGTTTGAATAATACTTTCCCTGATAAAAGTATCCAAACTTTTTTAAACAGAGGGCAGACAGGAGCTAATAAATAAAGTATCAATAGTAGATGTTCATTCCTTTCTTAATAAAACTGAATTGATATTTAAATAGAACTGAGTGTTACAATGTTTATATCTATGAAAGAAATTAAATAGAAAAGTAATGGTTGCCGCAGCTGTTCTCGGCTCCTTAAGTGCCACGCTCACAGTGTAGTCCATCTTTGTGTTAGCATTACCGAGTTTCAATACACCCTCTGTTACCTTTTCTGCTTATAGCACAAGGGTTTGGCTTTGGTTTCTTTCTCAGGAGGGAAAGGTAAAAGAATCACATTAGGGAGGCAGGCATACTGGTATAAAAACTGTCTTCTCCCACTTATTTTTTAAAATGTCTCGAAAGGTATATTTTTGTTATTTTTTTTTAAAGTATTATGAAATGTGACTTAGGAATCGGGTGCAGTTGTGGAATCGCGTGCAGTTGTTCATGGCAGAAGCGGTAGTAGGCAAAAAAAAAAAATGGTATAAACAGACTATAATAAGAAAAGAAAAAAAGAAGCCTCAATTGTAGCTCTTCCTACTATACTTTTCAGAACAGAAAAGACAAACTGGTTACACGGTGGCACCCAGCCAATCTCTAACTAGAATCAATTGCTTTGCCAACAAGAAACACAAAAGATGTTCAGTGTTTGCAAACCGAGTTTCCTGTAAAAGCACCTTTTCTCCAGTCTAGCAAAACGGGAGATCAAGACAATTTCTTCTGCTGCTCCTTACCGCTGTTTCTCTCCTCCCTGTGTTCCGAAACCTTTCTAGAAGAAGGCAAATATGTATCTAATCCCAGAGGAAAAGGAGACTTTTCACTTCACAGCGTGATCTCTTCATTACAGCTGTGTGACCACAGCAGGCAATTGTTCCAAAAGACAGTGACCAATATTATAATTATCTATATAAAACAGTTCACTGGGTAGCCTTTGTTTTTTTGAAGTTTTAAAAATTTGTATACAGTCTTTTATCTCAACATGATGTGGCCATCATGTTGGGGGTGGAATATGAGTATGGCTGGAAGGAGCTAATTCTTGGAAGGAGAGGGGAAGGGAAAAGACAGAGAAAGCTCCCCTTCACCTTTTGCTTCTGCCTTGCTCTTGATTTCCTCCTTCACTAACCACTAGAGGGTTAGAGTGAAAGCAAAATAGAAAACAACATCAAACTGTAATATAGCCTTTCTCCCCCCATCTTTTTCTCTCTCCCTCTTCCTCATTTCAAAAGTATTTTGTTTGTTTGTTTGCTTTTTTAAAAAAACATTTCTTACAATCTCAGCCCTTGTCCTTTTTCCTGGCACCATTCAGCATATGTTTCTTCTTCCTCTTCAATGTATAGCCCTTCCCCAGGTTTTTCATCACTCCTGCCTTCCAGGTCTCAGAGTCTTGAACAACTTATGTCCTAAAGCCTAAGATTCTGCAGTGCCATTAGCTCCATCCACAGGGCTGATAGGCGTTTGTGTGTTACCTGGGAACCTCTCCAACATTTACAACACTCTTTCTATGGCAAACATATATTCTGGGTGCCACACGGCCTACCCAGACAAAGTTTTAGGGTACAGCCAGGTTGTAGTTTGAAGATGTGTGTTATATTTTTAAAGGAACCACAAAAAGGAACTAGATATTCAGAGTGAAAATTACAAAGACGTATACAAATCACTGGAGGAACATCCAGGTCCCAAAGAGGCACTTGGAACCAGTGATCATACTACTATTTGTGACTAAAATGGGAATGTATTTAGTGGACTATACTTTCTCAGGAAGATTTATTTTTAGAGGTCAGATGTGGATTGAGGACCCAAAAATAGTTATTGTGTAGATTTGAGATGATATTTTCTATTTTATAACTTTTGTATATCTTGAGATGAGCCATAATTCTCTGTAGAAACCTGAATAATGGATTTAAGTCAATTTCCAGAATGTGTTCTGAAATAATAAAAGCTTTTTTTTTCTTTTTCTTTTATGAGAGAAAGGTTTTTTTTTTTTTTTTTTTTTTTAGAAAGCAAACATTTATCTCATTGGCTAGTAAAGAACATTCATCTTATTCTAAAATTAAACCTATTTGATGTAGAATATCATCCATCACCAGAAATGCACCTTTGGAAAGTTTGGAAAGACACCCTAATTTCATATCTGAGAAATCACTAATTTCAAGTCGATCCAAAATATAACTAATCCAAAAGATTAAATAAATAAGATACTTTTCAAAACATTACATAATGATAATTGATGTTTAAAGTGAAGCTTACAAGCACTTTATGAATCTGATTGCATTGCCTTTAATAATATTTTATAGTGAATGTGTATAAATCTGAATTCTTTGACGTTAAAAGATGTTAACAGCTTGTGAAATTTCTGCCAATTAATATAAAGACTGAACAAAGTATGTCTAGGTGCTATTTTTGTTTGTTTCTCTATTTGCTAACATACTCACCCAACTCCTTATTATGTCTTTTTTACTTCACTGTCCCACAGGCAATTCATACTCAATATCACTTAAATAGAGCAACACTTCACATTTTTCTTAACTCCTATTGCACGTGTTGGTGACTGACACTTTCTTCCACCTATGTGTGTAATCCAGACACTAGAATGTCTCTTTCTACTGTCCCTTAATCTCACATTCAATCACATCTCTCTCCTCCTCCTCATACTCTCTGCCATTGTCTTTAATGGAGTTCTCATTTTTCATTTGTATTACTCTAACCATAAGCTTATCTGCTGTCTTCGCCTCAAGACTTGAGCCTCCTTGCATCCTAAACACAGCTGTCAGAGTGATATTTCTAAAGGAATTTGATCACATCCCTCCTTGCTTAACATTCTTCACCACTAACTCCTCTTTACCTTTGGTCTGAAATCCAAACTACTTAACCTGGCTTATAAAACTCTTCGAAGTGTGAGCCTTGTGTTCTGCCTCATGTTTCGGCAACTGATAATCTAGAGTTGTGCTGCTGGTAAGATAGCCACTGGCTATACGTGGCTGCTTCAATGTCATTTAAAATAAATTAAAATAGAATAAAATTAAAATTTCTATTCCTTAGTCACACTCACCACATTTAAAATACTTTACAGCCACTTGTGACTAGTGGCTTTACAGTAGCCTACTGTATTAGAGTGAAGACAATACGAATATTCCCATCAATGCAAAAAGTTCCATTGGGTGGCACTGCCTGTGATTCAGTCGTATAGCCAGTGTTCAATGCAGTTAGAAGTTCCTCAAAGATACACACTTTCTCTTCCTGTGTCCAAGTGTTCTCATTATTCAGTTCCCTCCTATGAGTGAGAACATGCGGTGTTTGGTTTTTTGTCCTTGTGATAGTTTGCTGAGAATGATGGTTTTCAGCTTCATCCATGTCCCTACAAAGGACATGAACTCATCACTGTTTATGTCTGCGTAGTATTCCATGGTGTATATGTGCCACATTTTCTTAATCCAGTCTATCATTGTTGGACATTTGGGTTGGTTCCAAGTCTTTGCTGTTGTGAATAGTGCTGCAATAAACGTAAGTGTGCATGTGTCTTTGTAGCAGCATGATTTATAATCCTTTGGGTATCCTAATGTAAATGGTGAGTTAATGGGTGCAGCACACCAACATGGCACACGTATACATATGTAACAAACCTGCACGTTGTGCACAAGTACCCTAGAATTTAAAGTATAATAAAAGTATTTATATATATATATATATATCTAAAAAGATACACACTTTCTTCTGCATTGTTACTTAAACTTTCCTCTCTCAAGAGTGTCCTCATTGTCTTTCTCTTAGCTAAATCCTACTCACTTTTTCATAGTCATGCCCATTCCAGCCTGGGTTAGTCCTCTCCCATGGGTTTCTATAGCTTCCCCAAAGGATCTTTTCTTGCAGTACATTCATTGTAGTTATCTGTTCCCTTGTCTTCCTCACTAGACTGTGAGCTCCGTGCTGTCAGAAACTATGTCCTTTAATGTCAAATGCTGTGCTTGATTCATAGAAGGCACTTGAAGCCATGTCTTAGGATAAATCAAATATAAAATATATGCTAAAAGTATTTCCTTTGTGATCAGGACTGATGTTTATGGTAAACATTTAATGTTTAGAGGTAGGCACAGAAGAATTATAAATTTCAAGTTTCTCTTCTTTCAATTTTTTTGTACTTAGCCAATCAATTGATTATAAAGTGCTTATCTTACTATATGTCTTTAAAACCCAGTATGAAAGTAAAAGGTTAAATTATTGAAAAGTAAGTGACTTATAAAATTCTTTTTAAAAACCCAGAATGTTGTTTAAAAAGACCTCTCAGTTGATGTGGAGAAATAGGAGTGCTTTTACACTGTTGGTGGGAGTGTAAATTAGTTCAACAATTGTGGAAGACAGTATGGTGATTTCTCAAGGATCTAGAACCAGAAATACCATTTCACCTAGCAATCCCATTACTGGGTATATACCCAAAGGATTATAAATCATTATACTATAAAGACACATGCACACATTATGTTTATTGCAGCACTGTTCACAATAGCAAAGACTTGGAACCAACCCAAATGCCCATCAATGACAGACTGGATAAAGAAAATGTGGCATATATACAGCATAGAATACTATGTAGCCATAAAAAGGGTGAGTTCATGCCCTTTGCAAGGACATGGATGAAACTGGTAACCATCATTCTCAGCAAACTAACACAAGAACAGAGAACCAAACGCCGCATGTTCTCACTCATATGTGGGAGTTGAACAATGAGAACACATGGACGCAGGGAGGGGAACATCACACACTGGTGCCTGTTGGGGGGTAGAGGGCTAGGGGAGGGATAGCATTAGGAGAAATACCTAATGTAGATGACAGGTTGAGGCATGCAGCAAACCACCATGGCACATAATATACCTATGTAACAAACCTGCACATTCTGCACATGTATCCTGGAATTTAAAGTATAATAAATACTTAAGTATAGTAAATACATGTGCATGTTCTACACATGTATCCCAGAACTTAAAGTATAATAAAACAATTTTTAAAGACCTCTGAGTGTTAGACACAATGGTTCAGCTGTAAAACATACAACACAGTATTTCAATACTATCATTTAGTTAGATTTCAACATGCTGTGTTGTAATGTCTTTTACTTAAAGTAGGAGAATTGAGCAAATTTATATCACTTTCAACAGTTGGATTATTAATATTTCTAACACAATATGTAGGCCACATTATCACTTTTGTTTTTATAAGTCATTAGGCTGTACACGTAGAAAAAATGAAATTGATTTGCTTTCTTTTTTGAACATTGGCTTATTTTTAAATTAATGAATCATACTGATAACACAAAACATTGCTTCCAGTATTGTATTTTTTATCTTTTAACTTAAATAACTAACTTGTGAGTCATTTAAAATGTCACTCAACAATACATTTTCTGCTTTTAGTTTTCAATTATTCATGAACATTTTATGTAATATTCAGAGTTTTAGAGCTGAAGAAATATGTAGGTAGGTTCTGCCTGAGCCCATTCTACGCTGACTTTCCCATCTCTCTCCACATAGTTATCTTTTTCTGCAAAGGGCCAACACATCCATAATTGGAGAATAACACATTCCAGAGTCTTGATATGTCAAAATTGTTTTATTGTTTTAAGAAATAAATATTTATGATCAATGCATTGTTTATTATTCATTTAATTATTCATTTATAGTTATACAGGTCATGGAGAAGCCAATGTGCATGGATGTACACATGGAGGAAGGGAGAATAAATAAACTCCAAATAGAAGGCCTTTATTTGCAAAAACACTTTGAGGTAAATCAAATGAGGTTAGAATTTATTATTCTGATTAGAAGGACCTAGACCAATATTGAGACAATTATAGGCCATCTGTATCCTTACACTAAAAATGTATCCCGTTTTTCTGAAAGATAGAGTCTATAGGAACTATAATGTTCACCTACATAGTGCTAGGGTGCATTTTCCAATCCATGTGTAACGGATTTACCCACTAATTAACCTATAACTCATTCTGTGTGACAACTCATGGAGCAGATAGAGTGCATTTGTAGTTTCCTTCTTATTACAGAAAAGGAAAACAAGAACCATAATTGCCTCAGGATTACTGTATCATTCAGGATTGGCCAAGTTATACTAAGATAATAAATGAACTTGGAAATCTTGTTGACTTAATCAAACAAGTGTTTTTCTTGCTTATGCTACATATCCAGTATAGTTGCATGTATAAAGGGAGGTGGTATGAGGCTCTCCTACTCATGGAAGCTTAAGGATACTGCTGACACAGGTTCCACCATAAGGAACAGACTGTACATGAAGAGCTCATACCTTTCTGTCACTTCTGCTCACACCCCATTGGCCAGAGCTAGTTAGGTGGCTCTGCCTTATTTAAAGAGGGCTGGGAAGTGAAGGGGGGAAGGTGAATATTGGATGAATAGAACTGTCACAATTAACTAGAGAAAGTGTCAAAACCAAGACTCCTTCATTCCTGCTAACATCAGTTAAAATAACGGATAAATGTTAACTGGAAACAACTCTATTTCCAAATTAAGTGAATGGTGAATTGACTCTTTTTTACTATTTTACTTTATTTTTTGAGACGAAGTCTCACTCTGTCACCCAGACTAGAGTGCAGTGGTGTGATCTCAGCTCACTGCAACCTCTGCCTTCTGGGTTCAAGCGATTCTCCTGCTTCAGCCTCCTGAGTAGCTGGGATTACAGGCACACACCACCACACTCAGCTAAATTTTTTATTTTTTAATTTTTTGTAGAGATGGGGTTTCTCCATGTTGGCCAGGCTGGTCTCGAACTCCTGACCTCAAGTAATTTGCTCGCCTTGGCCTCCCAAAGTGTTGGGATTCCAGGCATGAGCCACCACACCTGGCCTGAACTGACTCTTAATGAAGCCGATTTATCTCCTTTTAAATACTGGTTTACTGTGACTAGTTTTTGATTCTCGATATGAATTCAGGGCATCTGGCAGGTTAAGTGGAAAGTATTATTTCTCACTATATAAAAAAAATGCAATCATTGGAAGACATAGTTCAACCAAGGGTCTCAATGGAAAATTGAATTAGAACATAAATTAGCTCTTCTTTCATAGATCAATTGCCCAATGTAGATGGGGACTTGGCTATTAGGTTATAGTGCAGTTGTTGCCAAAGTGGGGTGCATATACATTTAATAGATTGATACTGGTTTATTCATTAGGTTGATATGTGAGAGTGTCCCTTGCTACATATGAGAGGAAATCTTAGAACAAGAGAAGTAGCTCCCTATCAAAGAGAGGCTGAGGGTGGTGCCATTACTTATTTGATTGTGTGTTTTTTTAATGTTTTCTCAATTAGAACAGATTCTGTTATGTGGGTTTGAATATATTTGATTTTTCTTAGAATTTTCATCTTTCTGCCCACATTACTCATCCGTTCTTGTGTGTTGTTTACTTTTTTTTACTACATCTCTTAACATATTAATTGTAGCATTTTAAAATTCTCTGCTTAATAATTCCAAAATCTATGTCATATCTGAGATTTTTTTTTAATTTGCTTTTTAGCATGTCTTCTATTTGTTTTTGTTGTTGAAATCAAGGCATGACATATAAGGTAATAGGAACTGAGGTAATTAGGCCTTTCGTGTGAAGATTTATGGTAATCTTGATATGGGAGTTATGAAGAAATCACTTAGGCAGATAGTGAGGGTACAGAAGTCCTGGGTAAGTCTTTTCTTTTTAATGAAAAGCAGCCCCAAATCATTTTCTAACAAAGAACATGACTGTAAAGTCAAGCTGCAGACATAGATAAGCAAGCTGGAAGCTTGCAAGTGTGAATACCGGCAGGAACGAGGGACTAGACGTGTTCAAGAGGGCGGCTCCTTCTTACCTTCTTTGCCAGCCACATGTACAGTAAGGAGCAGACAAGATGGCACCGATTAACTGGAAAGCTCATTTGCATAATAAGATTAGGGTGAGGAGACCAGCCTTCCCTGTGCACTACGTAAAGGTCATACCTGATTGAACCAATCTGTGAGTCCTATGTAATTCAGACACCGACTCCTCAAACCTGACTATAAAATCTGGCCCATTCACTGCTAGCCAGTCCTTTCCACTTGGAGACCCCTCTCTCTATGAAGAGACCCATTTCTCTTTCTCTTTTCTTCTGCCTATTAAACCTCCACTCCTAAACTCCTCCTGTGTGTCCATGTCCTAAATTTTCCTGGTGCGTGATGACGAACCCCAGGGTATATACCCCAGGCAACATAGCAGCTTCAATCTGGCTAGGAGTTGGGCCCAACTTAACGTTTGCTATAGCTATAGGTGGTAGTGGTCTCAAATTCCTCTAGTGTCTATGTTTTTACTGCTTCATGATTCCCTAAGAAATACTCCTCAGATAGAGTTTGTGTGCTATGGTCTGAATGTTTGTGGTCCCACAAATTCATATGTTGAAATCATAACCCCCAATATGATGGTATTAGGAAGGGGGGGGCCTTTGAAAGATGACTAGGTCAAGAGGGTAGAACCCTTATGATTGGGACTAGTGCCTTATTAAAGAGGCCCAAGGGAGCTTGTTTGCCCCTTCTTCCATGTGAGGACACAGCAAGAAAACACCATCCATGAAATAGGAACTGGGTCCTCACCAGACAGCAAATGTGCTGGCTCCTTGATCTTGGACTTCTCACTTTCCAGAACTGTGAGAAATAAATGTTTGATGTTTAAACCACCCAGTCTATAGATTTTGTTATAGCAGCATGAATGGACTAAGACATGGAATATGGACTAACATATGGAATCTGGACTAAGACCAGAAATCTCGGCTGAGATCTGCTTGTCTGGACAGGAACTACTGGAGGCTTAAACTAGCAGAAACACATAGATAGCAATGTGCTCTTTCAGCTATAAGTCACTGTTATTCTAGTGGAGTCTTGCTGGTGTGGTGGTAAGGTAGGGCGAGGGAAGTGTTCTGTAATCTACTAATAAAATCTCTGTTTTCAGCAGGCCTGAGTTCTGGGGCTTTGACCTTTGCAAAGGTTCCATAGTTTTGTTCTCTTCTAAGCTAAGACAGGAAGTCAGACAAATGTCCTTCCTCCAGGTGGTTTTTAAAGCTCTGGTCAAGTCTTTCCCCCACCAACTGGAGAGTAGGCTTTTGTCATGGAGAATGCTCTGACGGTGTTTTACTATGATTGTCCCTACCAGAACCATGAGGGGATTTTTCTTGTCTCTTCACCATGAAGGCTTGTTGGGGTTTCTAAATGTAAAAGTGAGGAGGCCCTCCTAAGACTGCAACTGCCAGGATTTTCTCAATCAAAAGCTAGTACATGTTTTGTCTCCTCTAAGTCATCAAAATTACTATTTATGTGTTTCTTCTAGTTTAAGGCTCCAGTAGTTCCTGTCCAGATAAGCAGATCTCAGCTGAGATTTCTGGGTTGTGGTTTGCCCTGCTACCTCATGGGTACAAGAAAAGTCATTGATTTGTCAGTTGGTTCAACTTTATCTAGTTGAGAAAATGAGAGTAATGACTTCCAAGCTCTTTATCTGCCAGAGCTAAAACTGGAAGTCTGAGCTTATTTGTTAATAATGTAAAATTGCTGTACCTTAATATCTTCTGATTAGTTGGCAAGAATAATTAGCAGAGGTCAGATAAGAAGGAAATTTTTAACAGAATTTTAAGAGAAAACATTGCATAATTACTAGATGAACTTGAAAATAATTTCCACAATTTAATCAGTATGATCAACAATGTACTTCTTCTATTTATATTTATATGTTAATGTTGAGTGGCTTTTCCATTTATCTGGCCATAAAATCAAGTATCAAAATAAACTGAATTTAGAACCAGAATTTCATATTGCTAAATCACAGGTATTAAATAAAATTCTTCAAAAAAATAGAGCATATTGAGTCATACTTTTTGTACTAAAAATGTCATGAATACTACTTTTTGTGTGTGAAAAAACTTTTATTTCATTGATAAAGAATATGTAACAAAAAATAATGGTTATTTTATGTTTATCTCACCCTTTAAAATTCCCATTTTGATAGTATGTTTTATAACATATTCAACATATTAATAATGTTAATTAATAATATTAATGTATGTACAATTTATAAAGAAATATGTATATGGAAAGGAATATTCAGATTTTTGCTGCTGGTGTAAAGATTAAAACAATCAGTCTACTAACTGCTACTTGAGTAACTTTGGCCAAATTATGTAACTTCATTGAGCTTCAGTTTCTGATATGCAAAATGGAGACGATGATTTCTATGTCTCCATCTTCTAAGGTTCTTGGTAGCATTAAGAAAGGCAATGCATCGAGACCATCCCGGCTAAAATGGTGAAACCCCGTCTCTACTAAAAATACAAAAAATTAGCCGGGCGTAGTGGCGGGCGCCTGTAGTCCCAGCTACTTGGGAGGCTGAGGCAGGAGAATGGCGTGAACCCGGGAGGCGGAGCTTGCAGTGAGCCGAGATCCCGCCACTGCACTCCAGCCTGGGCGACAGAGCGAGACTCCGTCTCAAAAAAAAAAAAAAAAAAAAGGCAATGCAAGGCTGAGTGCAGTGGCTCACACCTGTAATCCCAGCATTTTGGAAGGCTGAGGTGGGAGGATTGTTTGAGGCTGGTAGTTTGAGACGAGCCTGGGCAACATAGTGAGATCCCACCTCTAAAATTTTAAAAATTAGCTGAGCGCAGTGGCATACATCTGCAGTCCCAGCTACTTGGGAGCGTGAGGTGGGAGGATTGCTTGAGCCTAGGAGGTCAAGACTGCAGTGAACCGGGTTCTTGTAGCTGCACTCCAACCTGGGCAACAGAGTGAAACCCTGTCTCAAAACAAAAACAAAAAACAGAGAAAGTATATGAAAAGGATTTTTCAATAACTGTTGAGTGCTAAGCAGCAGCTATTGATGCTTTAATTTTTCTGAGTTTTCATCCTGTGACTCCTTATTGCTGCAAAGGGGAATAATAGTTTTTTTTTTCTTCAGCTAAATAGCTCACAAACTGGGAATGGATTAAAAACTATAATAATTTTTTTCTACAAAAAAACACTGTGGAATTACTCTGAATATGTGACAAAAAAAGGGAGTCTCACTTTTCTCTGAGAAACAACAGTATCACACAGTATCTGACCCCGTGTTGCTCTTAGTATAAAAATTTAAGAAGCCGAACTTGAGAAAGGCAGAAGATGCCAACTTAGGCCCCTGACGTGTTAGGCCGAGAGACACATGATTCTAGGCACAATATTTGGATAATAATTTTATCTTTTTTCCCAGAAACCACCTGGGATTTTTTTTTTTTTTTCTGACACGGAGTCTTTGCTCTGTCGCCCAGGCTGGAGTGCAGCGGCGCGATCTCGGCTCACTGCAAGCTCCGCCTCCCGGGTTTACGCCATTCTCCTGCCTCAGCCTCCCGAGTAGCTGGGACTACAGGCGCCCGCCACCGCGCCTGGCTAATTTTTTGTATTTTTAGTAGAGACGGGGTTTCACCATGGTCTCAATCTCCTGACCTCGTGATCTGCCCGCCTCAGCCTCCCAAAGTGCAAGAAGTTCTTTCAAATGAATAAGAACAAAGATACAACATACCAGAATCTCTGGGAGACAGCTATGTCAGTGTTAAGAGGAAAATTTACAACACTAAACTGCCACATTAAAAAGTTAGAAAGTTAACAACCTAATATCAGAACTAAAAGAACTAGACAACCAAGGGCAAACAAATCCCAAAGCCAGCAGAAAACAAGAAATAACCAGGCCTGGTGTGGTGGCTCATGCCTATAATCCCAGCACTTTGGGAGGCCGAGGTGGGTGGATCTTCTGAGGTCAGGCATTCAAGACCAGCCTGGCCAACATGGTGAAACCCCATCTCTACAAAAAATATAAAAATTAGGTGGGTGTGGTGGCAGACGCCTGTAATCTCAGCTACTCAGGAGGCTGAGGCAGGAGAATTGCTTGAACCTGGGAGGTGGCGGTTGAAGTGAGCTGAGATCATGCCATTGTACTCCAGCCTGGGTGACAAGAGCAAAACGAACTGAAGGAGATTGAGACACAAAAAATCATGTCTCAATCAAAAGATCAACAAATGCAGGAGGTTTTATTTTTTTTTGAAAATATTAATTAAATAGACCACTAGCTAGACTGATAAAGAAGAAAAGAGAGGAGATTAAAATAAACACAATCAGAAACAACAAGGGGGATATTACCAAAACCCCACAGAAATACAAACAACTATCAGAGAACATTATGAACACCTCTATGCACATAAACTAGAAAATCAAGAAGAAATAGATGAGTTCCTGGACACTTAGACCCTCCCAAGACTGAACCAGGAAGAAATGGAATCCCAGGACAGATTAGTAATGAGTCAGTAATAATCATTGAAATTGAGTCAGTAATAAGTATCTTACCAACCAAAAAAAAGCCCAGGACCAGACAGATTCACAGCTGAATTCTACCAGATGTGAAAAGAAGAGCTGGTACCATTCCTGCTGAAATGATTCCAAAAAGTTGAGGAGAAGGGACTTCTCCCTAACTCATTCTATGAGGCCAGCATCATCCTGGTACCAAAACCTGGCAGACACACAACAAAATAAGAAAACTTCAGGCCATTTTTATCAATGAATATTGATGAAAAATCCTCAAGAAAATACTGGCAAACTGAACTGAGCAGCACATCAAAAAGCTTATTTACCACGATCAAGTAGGCTTTATCCCTGGGATGTAAGGTTGGTTCAACATATGCACATCAATAAATGTTATTCATCACATGAACAGAACTAAAGACGAAAAACCACATGATTATCTGAATAGACATAGAAAAGGCTTTCAATAAAATTCGACACCCCTTCATGTTAAAAACTCTCAAAAATCCTAGGTATTGAAGGAATATGCAGCAAAATAATAAGAGCCTTCTATGACAAAGCTACAGCCAACATCATACTGAGTGGGCAAAATCTGGAAGCATTCGCCTTGAAAACCAGCCAAAGACAAAGATGGCCTCTCTCACCACTTCTATCCAACATAGTATTGGAAATCTTGGCCAGGGAAATCATAAAAGAAAATAATAAAGGGCATCTAAATACAAAGAGAGGAAGTCAAACTATCCCTGTTTGCAGATGACATGATCCTGTAACTAGAAAACCCAGTAGTCTCAGCCCAAAAGCTCCTTAACCTGATAAACAACTTCAGCAAAGTCTCAGGATACAAAATCATTATGTAAAACTCACTTGCATTCCTGTACACCAACAACAGTCAAGCTCAGAGTGAACTCAGGAACACAATCCCAGGCCCAACTGCCACAAAAAAACAAAAACAAAAACAAAACAAAAAACAAACCCAACAACAACAACAACCAAAAAAAAAAAACCCTAGGAATATAGCTAACCAGAGAGGTGAAAGATCTATACAAAGATAATTAAAAAACATTGTTCAGAGAAATCAGAGATGACACAAATGGAAAAAGATTCCATGTTCATGGATAGGAAGAATCAATATCATTAAAATGGCTATACTGACCAAAGCAATGTATAGACCAATGCCATTTCTATTAAACTACCGCTGACATTCTTTACAGAACTAAGAAAAAAACTATTTTAAAATTCATATGGAGTCAAAAAAGAGCCTAAATAGCCAAGGTAATCTTAAACAAAAAGAACAAAGCTGGAAGCATCATGCTACCCAAATTCAAACAATACCACAGGGCTACAGTAACCAAAGCAGCATGATGCTGGTATAAAAGCAGACACATAGACCAATGAAACAGAATAGAGAACCAGAAATAAGGCTGCACACCTGCAACTGTTTAATCTTCAACAAACCTGACAAAAACAAGCAATGGGGAAAGGATTCCCTAATCAGTAAATGGTGTTAGGATAACTGATTAGCCATATGCAAAAGATTGAAACTTAACCCCTTCCCTTCCCCATATAAAAAAAATTAACTCAAGATGGATTAAAGACTTAAATGTAGAACCTAAAACTATAAAAACCCTGGAAGATAGCCTAGGCAATACCATTCTGGACACAGTAACAGGCAAAGATTTCATGATGAAGGTACCAAAAGCAATTGTAACAAAAGCAAAAATTGATAAATGGGATCTAATTAAACTAAAAAGCTTCTGCACAGCAAGGGAAACTATCAACAGGATGAACAGACAACATATATAATGGGAGAAAATTTTTGCAGTTTCTAATATCCAGCATCTATAAGGAACTTAAACAAATGTGCAAGAAGAAAAGAACCCCAATGAAAAGTGAGCAAAGGAAATGAACAGACACTTCTTAAAAGAAGACATACATGTGGCCAACATGCATATGAAAAACAGCTTCTATATCACTGATCATTAGAGAGATGCAAATCAAAACCGCAATCAGATACCATCTCACACCAGTCAGAATGGCTATTATTAAAAAGTCAAAAAATAGCAGATGCTAGCAACATTGTGGAGAAAAAGGAATGCTTATACACTGTAGGTGGGAGCGTAAATTAGTTCAATCATTGTGGAAGACAGTGTGGCAATTCCTCAAAAACCTAAAAACAGAAATATCACTCAACTTAGCAATCCCATTACTGGTATATACCCAAATGAATATGAATCCTTCTGTTATAAAGATACATGCCAGCATATGTTCATTGCAGTGCTATTTACAATAGCAAAGACATGGAATCAACATAAATGCCCATCAATGATAGACTGGATAAAGAAAATGTGGTACATATACACCATGAAATACTATGCAGCCATAAAAAGTACAAGATCATGTCCTTGGCAGAAACATGAATGGAGCTAGAGACCATTATTCTTAGCAAACTAACACAGGAACAGAAAACCAAATAACACATGTTCTCACTCATAAGTGGGAGCTAAATGAGAACACATGGACACATAGAGGGGAACAACACACACTGGGGCTGATCAGAGGATGAAGGGTGGGAGGAGAGAGAGGAAAAATAACTGATGGGTACTAGGCTTAATACCTTGGTGACAAAATAACCTGTGCAAGGAACCCCCATGACACAATTTTCCCTATATAACAAACCTGCACAAGTACCCCTAAATTTAAAATAAAATTATGAAAAAAGACATATGAACATATTTTACTGGATTCTTATAATATACCTCTTTGAGATAGGTAGGTTAGATACAATTATCACCATTTAGAAAATGAAGATACAAGCTCAGACATGAGGATTTTTTGTTTAGCCTACTAATCAGGATAAGTTTTAGAAACTGCTCTGGTACCAAGCTAGATATTTTATTTTGAGTTCTAATTTTTTGTTTTGTTTTGTGTTTTTTTTTTCTGCCTTGTGATCATGAAAAAAAGACACATAATTATTTCAGCTTAGGCTAATACAGTAATTGTACATTTTTTTCCAAGAAAGTCTACACCTATTTTAATATCCTGATTGTTCCTTCATATAGTATTCTATCAACCTCCCTCAGATTTCCATTTCAGTTATCTTCTGGGAGAAAGACAGAAAAAGAGACAGAGAGATAGAGAGGCTGGTGAGAGAGAGGGGGAGGGAGACAGAGAGAGACAGAGACAGAGAGACAGTTGGTTTTCATATATTTCTGGAGTATGTTTCTTATGTATGTAAGATAGGCCTATTCACTTGTGCAGGGATGAAGTACTTTATTTAAAATAAAATAAAAAAAAACTTTGCCCATCCTCTTGCATGAGGACAAGCTTTGTGTAATGTCTTAACCACTATAGGTTGCTTATACCTGTGAAATTTGCATATTGGTATAGGTCTTCATTTCCTGTACACTTTAACAAAAATTGGCATAGATTAGTCAGTGCCATTTGGTGTCTTTATTCTACCTTGTTAGAATTAAGCTGGAGGGGGGAGTAAACAGTAATTTGTTGGGGTAGAGTTGTTGGTAGCACTAACATTAATATGAGGCCTTCTCTTTCAGTTCTAATCAAGTCATTTTGGACCTCTTACTTCTGAGAAAACTGCTTCTGTATATGAGTTGAATCATCTTTCTAAGGTCATTCATAGGTCACCTGTTGCTCACAAAGAAGAAATGCACTGTATGAAACAGCTAAGGTGATTCACCTGGGCATATGCTAAGCACAAATCAACAGAGGAAGAGGCCAGATTCCTGTAAGAATTGGGTTTCTAATTTCTTTTCAGTATATAAACATAGGTAGTTATTATATTGTTTCAGACTTTTCTTTACAACAAATTGTCTTCTTGATTTTCAGAGTATTTAAGAATCTTAAAATAGAAGAAAGAAAACTAGAATTTAAATATTTTAATAAACAACCATGTCTAGGTAGGGCACAGTGGCTCATTCCTGTAATCCTAGCACTTTGAGAGGCCAAGATGGGCAGATCACTTGAGGTCAGGAGTTTGAAACCAGCCTGGCCAACAGAGCAAAACCCCATCTTTACTAAAATACAAAAAAATTAGCCAGGCGTGGTGATGCACACATGTAGTCCCAGCTACTCAGGAGGCTGGGGCAGGAAAATCACTTGAACCCAGGAGGTGGAGATTGCAGTGAGCTGAGATCGTGCCACTGCACTCCAGCCTGGGTGACAGAGTGAGACTCTGTATCCAATAAATAAATAAACAAATAAACAAACAAACAACCATCTCTAAAACTTCTTTTTATGATAACAGGTTGTGGCAGATTAAAGACAGGCAGGTGTTCTTAGGAACTCCTTTCATGAAAAGGTGAACCCTATTACTCCTCCTTTGCATTTTGGTAGGCCCTATAACTGCTTAGTGGATAGAATATGATGGCAATGATGTTCTGTCAGTTTTCAAGTCCAGGCCTGAAGACACTGGTAGTTATCCATGGTAGTGGGAATTCTAAGTTGTCCTCCAAAATTTTACCTCATAGAGTGCATGCCTCATTCTGTAGACTTCTCTTGATTTGGGATGAGACCTATGACTATGACATATGTCACTTCAGGAATTATGCTACCTTATATGGCAATGGCCAAGGCATTTCTGGATGTAATTAAGATCTCTAGTAAGTTGGCTTTGAATTAATGAAAGGGACTTTATCTTGATTAGGTTAGAACTAGTCAGGTGGTCCTTTTAAAGAGGGCTAGGTCTTTGCAACAAATAGTGCTGGAACAACTGGATATCCAAAGAATGAAGTTGGACCCCTTCCTCACACCATACACAGAGATAAACACAAAGTGGATTTTAGACCTAAATGCAATGGCTAAAACTATAAAACGCTTAGGAAACATACAGTAAACATCATGAACTTGGGGCAGGCAATAATTTCTTAGATACAACATCAAAAGCAAAGTAGCAAAAGACCAAAAAAGATAAATTGTACTTCACCAAAATTAAAATTGTAATGATTCTAAGGATATAATCTAGAAAGTGAAAAGTCAACCAATTAAATTGGGAAAATATTTGCAAATCATATATCTAGCAAGAAATGTATTCATAATATATTTTTAAAAAACCTGTGGAAACTCAGGAATTGAAATAACAATAACTCAATTTTAAAAATGAATAAAGGATTTGAATAGATATTTTCCCAAAGAAGGTATACAAGTGGCTAATAAGCACATAAAAAGATACCTTCAAATCATTAGTCATTAGGGACATGCACATCAAAACCACAATGAGATACTACACACCCAATAGGATGGTTGTAGTAATAAAAAAAAACAGATAATAACAAGTGTTGAAAAGGTTGAGGAGTAATAGAAATCTTCATACATTGCTGGTGAGAATGGAAAATCGTGTGGCTGCTTTGGAAAGTAGTTTAGCAGTCCCTCAAATTGTTCAACATAGAGTTATCATATAATCTAGCAATTTCACTTCTAGGTATAAAACCAAGTGAAATACAAGCATATGTGCACACAAAAACTTCTGCATGAATGTTTATAGTAGCATTATTCACAATAATCCCCAAATAAAAATAATCTAAATGTCTATCAACATTGATAGATAAATAAAATGTGGTATATCCATAAAAATATTACTCAGCTATAAAAGAGTATAAAGTACAAATACATGATACAACATTATATCTTGAAAACATTTGCTAAGTCACAAAAGACTTAGTGACTCATGATTATGAATCAGTCACTAAGTCTTTTGTGAATGTGAATGATTCCACTAATATAACTAAACAGGAAAAAATTTATAGAGATAAAAACGATTACTGGTTGCCTAGGGCTAGGGGCAGTGGTGGAATTGAAAGTAACTGCTTGGCCAAGTGCGGTGGCTTATGTCTGTAATCCCAGCACTTTGGGAGGCCGAAACAGGCAGATCACCTGAGGTCAGGATATCAAGACCAGCCTGGCCAGTATGGTGAAACCTGGTCTCTACTAAAAATACAAAAATTAGCTAGCTGGACACAGTGGTGTGTGCCTGTAGTCTCAGGTACTCGGGAGGCTGAGGCTGGAGAATCACTTGAATGCAGGAGGCAGAGGTTACAGTGAGTCGGGACCATGCCACTGCACTCCAGACTGGGTGACAGAGCGAGACACCATCTCAAAAAAAAAAAAAAGTAACTTCTAATGGGCACAGGGTTTCTTTCTGGGATGACAAAAGCATCCTAAAGTTAGAAAGCAATGATGGTTGCACAATTCTGCTAAAAACTATTGAATTTCATACCTTAAATGAGCAAGTTATATTTCAATAAAGCTGTCCTTTTATTTATTTATTTATTTATTTTTACTTTTTAGACAGAGTCTCGTTCTGTCACCAGGCTGGAGTGCAGTGGCGTGGTCTCAGCTCACTGCAATCTCCGCCTCCTGGGTTCAAGTGATTCTCCTGCCTCAGCCTCCCAAGTAGCTGGGACTACAAGTGCCCACCAACATGCCTGGCTAATTTTTGTATTTTTAGTAGCGATGGGGTTTCACCATGCTGGCCAGGATGGTCTCGATCTCTTGACCTCGTGATCTGCCCACCTTGGCCTCCCAAAGTGCTGGGATTACAGGCATGAGCCATCGTGGCTGGCCAGCTGTTCTTTTTTTTTTAAACAAAGAGAAAAGCTTATGTCTTTCCTGAGCTCAGAGACATTCCCCTGTTTGTCTCAAAGAAAGCAGTTGCCTTGAGTTCTATAACTGCCAGAAATGAATTCTGCCAACAACCCAAGTGAGCTTGAAAAAGAATCTTAAGACTCCGTTGAGATCGTAACCATGGTTGACACCTTGATCAGGCCTTGTGAGATCCTGAGCAGAAGATCCAGCTAAACCATGCCCAGGCTTTTGACCTACAGAAACTGTGAGATAATAAATGGGCATTGTTTTATGCCACCAAGTTTGTGGTAATTTGTTACATGGTAATGGAAAACTAGTACATTTCTTCTTTTAGTGTCTTGGAACACTTGCTTTTGAAACTCAGCTGCCATGATGTGAGAAGCCCAAGTCACATGGACAAGCTACCTAAGCTCGCAGCTAAGAGCCAGCATCGTCTGCCAGCCATGAGAGTGAGCCACTGTGGCCACTCAGTCCAACTTTGACTGCAGGTGCCTTAGAGACCCCAAGCAAGAACCACTAAGCTGTGCTCAGCTAATTCACAGAAATATGAGAGATAATAAATTTAAGTTTTAGGGTGGTTAGTTATATGACTATAGATAACATGCTTAGATAAAGTAGATAAAATAGATAACATAGATAAAAATGCTTATTTTATTCATTAAAAAGGGTCTTTTAAATTCTCTTAGTCTTATAAGTGAAACACTGCTTTCAGTTTTCTTCATTTTGCTCCTGGAATCCTTCTGACTGTATTGAAGGTTGACAGGTGACTTCTCTTAGGACGAGCTGAAAGACATGGCTAATTTTTGTGCATCTTCAATTAAAAATTAAACACTTAGTAGAGTGAAGTTGTTGTAATTGCTGCTGTATTTAAGAAAAACAATAATAAGGGCCACACTGAGAATGTTACAATTAATTAAAGAATGCATTGTCATTATTACGTAAGTATAGATAGAGATTTGTGTTTAGAAAGAAAAAAAATCCAATGCAGATACATTGAATCCAAATTAAAAATGTATAATAAATATCGTAAAAAGACCACTCATAACCGTGATGTTATATGAAGAAATGGCCATAATAAATAAATTCCTTATGCTGTTATACTTTAGATTGACTAGCATTTCCATACTAAAGAAAACTATTCGGTGGTAACATTTTTGGTGCTTGTACCTACTTGTATTATTCACTGTGGCTAAAGCCAATTTGTTCACAAATATGATAATTATCTAATTCTGGATAGGAAAACTCTTCTTATCTCTGGAATAAAGTTTCTAATTGCAGCAAAAATAATTTTCAAATATTTTTGGGCAAAAAGTCAGTGCATGAGCTTCAAATATACTTTGTTCTGTTAAAATTGGAATCGAGAGTTTGAGAGCTACAGCCTCATAAGGAAGTAATCGCATTAGTCACCCTCCTGGCACTACATGGGTATTAATCTTTTCCTTTCATCAGCCTCTCTGGCTCTTGCACAATTTTACAAGGTCCCCCACAAAGCCCAATTAATATTGTTTCTCTCTTTAAAACTCATGAATGTGCAATTAATAATAAATGATCTTGGGAGAATAAAAGAAGCAAGTTCGGAATTTCTAAATCATCTTGACAGGCAGCTGTATTCCATAGGCTATTTCAAGGAGTAACTACCTACCTGTTATGTCCTTATTATAGCCAAACTGGCTTGAATAGTTATTACCCAGAATAAGTGGTTGTCTTACAAATAAACTTTATGAATATATTTGGGACTTAAAAAATCATCTTGAATGTTTGATAATCTTTTCATTTGATGTGTATTAAAAGTCATTTAATTAAAGGGCCATCTTTGAACATACAAAGGATGTTCTAGCCCCACATCCCTTCACATCACCCTGTTTAATTCTGGTATTTTCTCCATTATTTTCTTTCTTTTTAATGAGTCACTCTTTCTTTTTAGAGCAAAAGTCCTGTGTAAGCAATGACCTTGTTCATCATGGTCCTGTGGACTCTCCGGCACCTATAACAGTGCCTGGCCAACAGTGGAAGCTCAGTAACTGTTACCTGAGGGAGCCACTGTCTAGCTTGCCGTTCAATAATAATAAAAACAATAAAAAATGTTCAGTTGGTCTTCATTAGTGGCAATCTAACATGGTTAACATCAAATGCAAAATCTAACTAGATAGTTCCTCTAGTTGAGGGAATGTATTTGGTTGGCCCCTCTAAGCCACATGAGATTTGGTTAGGATCATTGATTTCCTTTGCTGAAGTCAACTGGTCAGCAGAGTTGCAGCAGATTACAAACCAAAGTTCCAGGTTGACCTATCCATTGAATTCAAATAAAGTACCCCATCAAGACCACAAGCTGGGAGAGTATTCTCAGGTATCAAAATTCGGGCATGTAAAATGTTACTTTCTTTAGTATCTTTAAGACTGAACTCAGTTTCTGTCTTGAACCCAATCTTTTACAACTGTTACTAAATTTTATTCCACTTTGAAGTGGGAATTGGAGGAGGAGGAACCACATATAAAAACTTCCTGTGGCTGGGGGTGATGGCTCACGCCTGTAATCCCAGCACTTTGGGAGGCCAAAGCAGGCGGATCACAAGGTTAGGAGTTCGAAACAAGCCTGACCAACATGGTGAAACCCCGTCTCTACTAAAAATACAAAAATTAGCCGGGCATGGTGGCATGCGCCTATAATCCCAGCTACTCAGGAGGTTGAGACAGGAAAATCGCTTGAACCTGGGAGGAGGAGGTTGCAGTGAGCCGAGATCATGCCACTGTACTCTAGCTTGGGCGAGAGAGCGAGACTGTCTCACAAAACAAAACAAAACAACACCTGTGTGGAAAGTATTATATAAATATAACTTGTGTTTTATAAGAAAGAGCATGGGATTTAGAGGCAGACAGACCTAAGAATCCATTTCAGTTGCAAAACTTTTTAAACTATATGACCTTGAGGAAGTTAATGAACACCTGCAACATTTATTTGTGAAATGAGGACAATATTACTTGCCTCCCATGATTCTGTTAGAGGATTAAATCAGATAACCCTATAAAAAATGGTTAGCTTATTATTTTGCATATAACAACACTCAATTATTATCACTATTATTGGTTTTATCATTTTTGATCAGTTGTGAGCAAGTGATTTCAATAAATACAAATTTATTTTCATTTAAGTCTTTCTTCATTATGCTTTCCCCCATCAAGTTGGAAATTCCCTTTTTGTCATCCTTTTAGGTTTATTCCTCATGCTTACTTTCCCTGAAGATGTTACTCATCCAAAACATAACTTAAAAAGACTTTATGAAAAGTTCTGATTTTGTTTACTAATTCTTACTTATCACGTGGTTAAATCAGTATAGTCTTATGTTCCTGTCTCAGTTGGGTTTTATACCTCCCTCCAATGGTGAGAGGAGAATTTCTGTCTCAAATTGAAGGACTTAATACCATCAAACCAGTAGTGGTGGGGAGCAGAGGGGATTATCTTCTTTGGCAAAGATCCATATCTATGGATGCTGAGAAGGTTGGCCCTGATGGGATTTGTAAGGCTCTTTCCCCCTTCAACCCCAGCATGGCAGGAGTCTGTGGCTTAGCAGTGCGCTACAAGGTTCCCACTCATATGTGGCCCTAGATTACCAACTAAGGATGCCAGTCCTCTTTATATTAATCATTCATTTGAATAGCAACATTTTGCTATGTATCTACCAAGTGCAATGCTCTTTTCATAGGCAAATTTCAGATCAAATAGTAGAAATCTTTATTAAGTATTAAAAAAGCAAACAAGCCACTGATATTGATGTAAATCCAAGGCACTTGCTGTGTTAGATAGAGGATATCATGGGGGGCTAAAGGTAAAGTGAAATGTAGGTAAGTTAAAATTCAAAAATACAACTATGGCCTTTTGTTATCTATACATACAGACTCAATTCAGAGATCTTTAAACAACATAGGATTATTTCAAGCAGAATATATTTCTTTTAGTTTTTGAAAATGTATTAATTCTATTAGATATAGAACCATCTTTAATCAGTTTATATTGCTGATGGAATAAATGAAATAAAGATATATGTATATAATGACATACAATGACACAGACTCTCACACATCTATCAGCACCTATCCAGAGGATCATAATGTATTGTAAATAGAGGAAAGATAATTTCCAGAAAGTAAAGTAGGATAAAGCTTGTCCCACCCCTACCTCAGTGCTTGATGATGTTAACATAGTTTTGATGTCTGTGCCAAACTATTTTTCATTCCACTCACTGTAGGTTGAAACTGTACCAGTTGTTACTTGCTCCTGCTTAGATAAACAACTGTAGCAAGTACTGGAGTAGGGCTCATGCTGACCTCATCAGGAAACCATGTGTAGGTGGACTCCTTGGAGGCTTATGATTCAAGGTCAGAAAAGTGAAAATTGTCCACATAATTCTTACACACATAAAAACAAACTGCTAACTGCTCTCTGTCTCTTCTCTCAGCCCTTTGCCCTATTCCATTGTATAACCTGAGTTTTAGTAGTAATGTTTTTTAAAAAAATTATATTTAATTTTTATAGGTACATAGTAGATGTATATATCTGTGAGGTACATGAGATGTTTTGATACAGGTGTGCAATGTGAAATAATCACATTATAGAAAATGGGGTCTCCATGCCCTCAAGCATTTGTCCTTTGAGTTACAAAAAATCGATTTACACTCTGTAAGTTATTTTAAAATGTATAATTAAGTTGTTATTGACTATAGTCACCCTATTGTGCTCTCAATTAATAGGTATTTATTCTTTCTATTTTTTTGTACCCATTGATCATCCCCACCTCTTCCCCAGCCCCATGCTGCCTTTCCCACCCTCTTGTAACCATCCTTCTACTACCTATGTTCATGAGTTCAATTGTTTTGATTTTTAAGTCCCACACATAAGTGAGAAAATACAATGTTTGTCTGTGCCTGGTTTATTTCACTTAAGATGAGGATCTCCAGTTCCATCCATGTTGTTGCAAATGACAGAATCTCATTCTTTTTTTATGGCTGAATAGTACTGTATTGTGAATATGTATCAATTTTCTTTATCCATTCATCTGTTGATGGACACTTAGATTGCTTCCAAATCTTAACTGTTATAAATGGTGCTGCACAAACATAGGAGTGAGGATATCTCTTTGATACACTGATTTCCTTTCTTTTGGGCGTATACCCAGCAGTAGGACTGCTGAATCTTATGGTAGCTCAATTTTTAGTTTTTTGAGGAACCTCCAGGCTCTTCTCTATAGTGGCTGTACTAATTTACATTCCCACCAACAGTGGACAAGGGTTCCCTTTTCTCCACATCCTTGCCAGCATTTGTTATTGCCTGTCTTTTGGATATAAGCCATTTTAACTGGGAAGAGATGATACGACATTGTAGTTTTCCATTTCTCTGATGAAACGCAAAATTGATTTGCATTTCTCTGATGATCAATGATATTGAGCACATTTTCATATGCCTGTTTTCCATTTGTATGTCTTGTTTTTTGAGAATGTCTATTCAAATCTTTTGCCCATTTTTGATCAGATTATCAGATTCTTTCCTACAGAGTTGTTTGAGCTCCTTATGTGTTCTGGTTATTAATCCTTTGTCAGATGGGTAGTTTGCAAATATTTTCTCCCATTCTGTGGGTTGTCTCTTCACTTTGTTTTTTGTATCATTTGCTGTGCAGAAGCTTTTAACTCGATGTGATCCCATTTGTCCATATTTGCTTTGATTGCCTGCTCTTGTGGGCTATTACTACTCATGAAAATTTTTCCCAGGCCAATGTCCTGGAGCTTTTCTCCAATGTTTTATTTTAGCAGTTTTAGATTTAAGTCTTTAGTAGTAATAATGCTTTAATCACTAGTTTTGCGTGGTATTTTGAAGTTTTCCAGAATTTTGGTACAAGCATACTGCCAAGCATCCACTTCATATTCAATACAGACTTAAAGTTTCTCCTCAATATGCCACACAATGACTCAATTTAAAATATGTACTGAATGGCCACTATATGCTATACTTGCTGGGGAGTGGGAGCAGTAAAAACAAATTCAGCATGGTTCCTTCTTTAAGAATCTTATGATGTGGCAGACAAAATCAACATGAAATAAAAATAATATGAAAGTCCTTGAGAGAATGCTGAGCAAATGGCAATGGGCAAACAAGATAGGAAGAATCTATGGGAAAGAGAAAATTTCACAGAGGAGATAATGTTGATTTGCCTTGCCAGGAGACAAGAAGAGTGGAAGAGCATTTCAGACAAAGAGAAGAGTATGAACAAATTCATGGGAAATAGAAGAATATGCACTGTGTTTAAGAATGAAAACAAGTCCAACTGGGTAGACCGTAAGGTTTATATTAGAGAAATGCCAGATGGTGAGAGCTAAACATTTGGACTGAAGCCCATGTTGAAGAGTTTGAGAGACCAACAGGAATGTTCCCTTGGTGACCGAATTTTATTTTGGAAAGATAACTTTGTGGCAGTGTGGAGGATGTACGACCATGAGAAGAATAAGATACAGAAAAGAAGTCCATGACAGGGGCAGGAGAAATGGAAAAAAGAGGATGAATTCCAGAAATGCTTCTAGAACAGAGCTACAAAATTTAGTAACCAGATGAGTAATAAGAAAAGGGAAAAGAATGAGTCAAAGGTTTATTAATCTATTGATTACATATTTACTAAGCACCTGCCATATGCCTGGTGCTTTGCTACCTGTTGTGTATATGGGGACTAGTGAGGCAAAGTTCTTACAATCATGTGGCTTACAGTCTAGTAAAATAAACAGAATGATCTCAAGTTTCTAGTTCAGTTTATTGATTAGATGTAGATCCTGTTAATTGTGTTTGGAAACATTGGGAAAGGTAAAATTTTAAGGACAATGGGATTTTGAGTTTAGTTTTAGACTCTGTATGAATGAACTGTCTGAAGGTCATAAGATTGAAGATGAATAGGATGTCAGGCCTAGAAAAGAGAATGGAATTGATGGTGTACACTTGAAAATCGTGAGTTTAAATATTAGTCATAGGTGTAAATTAAATTATCTAAGGAGAGCAAATAGAAGAGAAGAGACTGGAAGAGAGAACCCTAGGGAATGACATTATATTTGGTTAGAGGAAAAATGTCTAACATATGAGTCTTAAAAACATGGTCAGAGAATTAAGAGAACATCCATGAGGAAGGTAAGAAATGATTACAAAAATAGAGAGTTGCCAGTTGTGTTGGGTTTACCAAAAGCTTCCATTATTTTTGCTTCTGTGCAAGAATGCTCACATTAGCTGCAGATTATACCAAGGCCCGCAGATATTTCTTCTCTTCTAAAGGTTTCAGATGCATTCCGTTTGTGCATCTTCTCCTTTTACTGTAAGTAAACCTCTACTAGAAGGGGAGTACACAGCACTAAATAATATAAGAGAGAAAGCTTGTCTAGAAGTTTCTTAATGTGCCAAGTACAGGTGGTTAATTCTTACCTCATACACAATGGTAAAGCATAATTATTACAAATTTAGACATGAGGAACTACCTGGATTGGCTAAAGATTTTGATCTGAAGTGACAGCCAGGAATAGCTTTGGAAATCTTGAAGCTAATTTCCCTTATTCCAGAATTATCAGTAATTTCCCACCCAATGCATATTCAGAAAAATGTGCTATATACTAAGTATAGAACATTAAATAATTTGTGTGTTTCCTCAAGTGGTTATCAGCAGCTATCCTTTGGAATGATCATGGGTATTTTTAAGTGTCATTATCTGAGTGTTGCTGGAGTATCCAAACAAGAGATGTGCATATGACTTGTGTTTTATTTAAAATATGGTGGAACTGCTGTAAGAGACAGCTAGGTATTTTTCCAGTGACCTATGTATTAGTGACTACTTTTCTGAACATCAAATAGGAGCATGGTTTGAAGACATTTGAGTAATTTTCTTTTATTATGGGAGGTATACAGAAAATGTACTTCAGATACTTAAGGCATTTTCAAAATTTATAGAGACAGGGATGTATAATAGTTAAGAGCAGTGACTGTGATAATAGGATACAATATTTAAAACTGAGATTGTCGAGGTTTTGACTGAATGGTTGTTGTGATGGTTAATACTGAGTGTCAACTTGATTGGATTGAAGGATGCAATATTGATCCTGGGTGTGTCTGTGAGGGTGTTCCAAAGAAGACTAACATTTGAGTCAGTGGGCTAGGAAAGGCAGACTCACCCTTAATCAGGTGGGCACCGTCTAAGCAGACTCCAGAGAATATAAAGCCGACAGAAAAATGTGAAGAGGCAAGACGGGCCTAGTCTCCCAGCCTACATCTTTCTCCCATATTTCTTCCAATAAAGTTAAAACTTTATATATATATATATATATATAATATATAATATATAATATGTAATATATACTATATATAATATAAATATATATTATATATATACCTCCTATTAGTTCTGTCCTTCTAAGAGAACCCTGACTAGTACAGATTTTGGTACCAGGAGTGGTTCTAGAGGAACAGAATATTAAGGATGGAGTTCTTTCATTGGTTTTGGGGTTTCTGGAGTTTGCTGTTTAATATGATTGGACCCCAAAATGCTAAGGGCTCTACTTCTAATAGTATGGAGACCACTGATAGTCCTTGGTGTAAACTAGAGAGTTATATAGAATAAATGCATTTGACATTCCTGATTCACTGCTCGTGAGAGGCAAGGAGTTTAGTGGCTCTATAGATAATACCTTTGACCATACGTGGAGAACCAAGGAATATAGTGAGGCTGGTTGGTTACTCCTAAGTTCAGTGGACAAAATGATGAGAGAAATTGGTGAACTCAGGGATTCTGTCTCCCGGCTTCAGAAGCAGATACTGAGCCTCAAATCTGCTAAGATTGCCCTGAGTGAGAGTCTTATCCCCTGTAGAAAAAGAACTGAAATTGTGGAAAAACAGACACAAGCTCTTATCATGCGAGTGGCTGACCTGCAATGAAAGGTGCATGCACAACCTTGTCAGGTGTCTACTGTTAAAGTGAGAGCATTGATTGGAAAAGAATGGGACCCTGCAACTTGGAATGGGGATGTGTGGGACCCTGCTGAAGCTGGGGACACTGAGTTTGTAAACTCTGATGGACCTTGTTTGCCAGAAGGAACAGCTTCCCCATCCCCAGTGGTGACAACATTCCCTCCCCAACCCATGCTGCCATCAGCCTTTCCACCTTTGTCTGAGGGGATAAACCCTGTGCTGCCTAAGGCAACAGTGACAGCCTCCCCGAGGCAGTTGCCAGGCAAAATAACGTTGATTCTCCTCCGGAGGCACCCCCAATACTCCTGTTTGCTTCTAGACCTATAACTAAAGACCTGGTGGGCCCCAAGAGGTGAGGTTGAGAGTGTGACCCATGAGGAGGTGTGCTATACTCGAAAAGAACTGTTTGAGTTCTCTAATTTATATAAGCAGAAATAGAACAGGCATGGGAATGGATATTAACGGTATGGGATAATGGTGGAAGGAACACAGAGTTGGAGCAGGTTGAATTTATTGATTTGGGCACACAAAGTAGGGACTCTGTTTTTAATGTTGCAGCTCAGGGAGTTTAAAAAAAAGGTTCTAATAGTTTATTTGCTTGGTTAGCTGAAATATGGATTAAAAGATGGCCCACTGGGAGCAAGCTAGAAATACCTGATCTCCGTTGGTTTAGTGTAGAGGAAGGGATTCAAAGGCTTAGGGAGATTGGAAGACTAGAGTGGATTAGTCACTTTAGACCTAGTCTTCCCAGCTGGGAGGGTCCAGAAGATATACCCTTGACCAGTTACTTGTGAAATAGATTTGTGAGGGCAGCACCTGCATTTTTGAAGAGCCCTGTAATTGCTGTTTTCCGTACGTCAGATCTAATGGTGGGAACAACAGTCACTCAACTACAAAATTTAAATATAATGGGAATAATTGGATCCCAAGGTGGCAGGGGCCAAGTGGTGGCACTCAACCATCAAAGACAAGGTGGACGTAACTACCATAATGGACAGCAGAGGCAAAGTGGCAATCAGAATAGTCTGACTCTTGTAGAGCTCTAGCATTGGATAATTAACCACAGTGTTCCTAGAAGTGAAATTGTTAGGAAGCCTACTGCATTCCTACTTAATTTATACAAGCAGAAAACTTCTAGATCAAACGGACAAAAGACTAATTTGAATTATAAGAGGAGAGAACCACAGCCCCTCAATCGGTTTCCAGACTTGAGCCAGTTTACAGACACAGAACTCCTTGAATGAAGGGGAGGCTAGGTCCCCTTGAGGAAGGACCCCACTACACTACTGATAATTTATGCAGTGAATCTCCCATCCTTCCCCAAGGAGACCCTGGCCTTTTACCAGAGTAACTGTGCATTGGGGAAAGGGAAATGATCAGATATTTCAGGGACTACTGGACACTTGTTCTGAGCTGACATTGATTCCAGGGGACCCAAAATGTCATTGTGGTCCTCTGTTAAAGTAGGGGCTTGTGGAGGTCAGGTAATTAATGGAGTTTTAGTTCAGGTCCAAATTACAGTGGGTCCAGTAGGTCCCCAGAGTCATCCTGTGGTCATTTCCCTAGTGCTAGAATGCACAATTGGCACAGACATACTTAGCAGCTGGCAGAACCCCCACGCTGGCTTCCTGACTGGTAGGGTGAGGGCTATTATGGTGGGAAAGGCCAAATGGAAGCCATCAGAGCCGACTCTACCTATAAAAATAGTAAATCAAACACCATATCACATCTCTGGAGGTATTGTGGAGGTTAGAGCCCCCATCAAGGACTTGAAGGATACAGGGGTGGTGATTCCCACCACATCTCCGTTAAACTCTCCCATTTGGCCTGTGCAGAAGACAGATGGATCTTGGAGAATGACAGTGGATTATCATAAGCTTAACCAAGTGGTGACTCCAATTGCAGCTGCTGTACCAGGTGTGGTTTCATTGCTTGAACAAATTAACACATCTCCTGGTACCTGGTATGCAGCCATTGACTTGGCAAATGCCTTTTTCTATATTCCTGTCTATAAGGCCCACCAGAAGCAATTTGCCTTCAGCTGTTTCAATATACCTTTACTGTCCTACCTCAGGCATATATCAACTCACCAGCTTTGTGTCATAATCTTATTTGGAGAGAACTTGATAGCTTTTTGCTTCTGCAAGGTATCACACTGGTCCATTACATTGATGGCGTTATGCTAATGGGATCCAGTGAGCAAGAAGTAGCAAACACACTGGACTTATTGGTGAGACATTTGTGTACCAGAGGATGGGAAATAAATCTGACTAAAATTCAGGGACCTTCTATCTCAGCAAAATTTCTAGGGGTCCAGTGGTGTGGGGCCTGTTGAGATATTCCTTCTAAGGTGAGGGATAAGTTGCTGCATTTGACCCCTCCTACAACCATGAAAGAGGCACAATGCTTAGTGGGCCTATTTGGATTTTGGAGGCAGCACATTCCTCATTTGGGTGTGTTACTCTGGCCCATTTATTGAGTGACCTGAAAGGCTGCCAGTTTTGAGTGGGGTCCAGATCAGGAGAAGGTTCTGCAACAGGTCGAGGCTGCCGTGCAAGTTGCTCTGCGATTTGGGCCATATGACCCAGCAGATCCAATGGTGCCTGAGGTGTCAGTGGCAGATAGCAATGCTGTTTGGAGCCTTTGGCAGACTCCCATTGATGAATCACAGTGGAGGCCTCTGGGAATTTGGAGTAAGGCCTTGCCATCTTCTGCAAATAACTACTCTCTTTTTGAGAGACAGCTCTTGGACTGTTACTGGGCTTTGGTGGAAACTGAACATTTGACTATGGGTCATCAAGTCACCTTGTGACCTGAAGTGCCTATCATGAACTGGTTGCTTTCTGACCTATCTAGCCATGAAGTGGGTCGTGCACAGCAGCATTCCATCATCAAATGGAAGTGGTATATATGCTATTGGGCTAGTGCAAGTACTGAAAGGACAAGTAAGTTACATGAGGAAGTGACTCAAATGCCCATGGTCTCCACTCTTGCCACCCTGCTTTCTCTCTGCAAGCCTGCACCTATGACCTCATGGGGAGTTCCCTATGATCAGCTGATGGAGGAAGAGAAGACTAGGGCCTGGTTCACACATGGTTCTGCATGATAGGCAGGCACCACCTGAAAGTGGACAGCTGCAGCACTACAGCCCCTTTCTAGGACATCCCTGAAGGACAGCGGCAAAGGGAAGTCTTCCAAGTGGGCAGAATGTTGAGCCATGCTCCTGGTTGTGCAATTTGCATGGAAGGAGAAATGCCCAGATGTGTGATTATATACTGACTCGATGGGCTGTAGCCAATGGTTTGGCTGGATGGTCAGGAACTTGGAAGAAGCATGATTGGAAAATTGGTGACAAAGAAATTTGGGGAAGAGATATGTGGATGGACCTCTCTGAGTGGTCAAAAACTGAATATTTTTGTTTCCCATGTGAGTGCTCACCAACGGGTTACCTCAGCAGAGGAGGAGTTTCATAATCAAATGGATAGGATGACCTGTTCTGTGGACATCACTCAGCCTTTTTTCCCCAGCCACCCCTGTCATCGCCCAATGGGCCCATGAACAAAATGGCCATGGTGGCAGGGATGGAGGTTATGCATGGGCTTAGCAACTTGGACTTCCATTCACCAAGGCTGACTTGGCTACAGCCACTGCTGAGTGACCAATTTGCCAGCAGCAGAGACCAACATTGAGCCCTCGATATGGCATTATTCTCTGGGTGATCTGCCAGCTATCTGGTGGCAGGTTGATTATACTGGACCTCTTCCATCAAGGAAAGGGCAGAGGTTTGTCCTCACTGGAATAGAAACTCTGGATATGGGATTGCTTATTCTGCATGCAATGCTTCTGCCAAGACTACCATCCGTGGACTCAAGGAATGCCTTATCCACCGTCATGGTGTTCCATAGAGCATTGACTCTGACCAAGGCGCTCACTTTATGGCTAAAGTAGTGCAGCAGTGGGCTCATGCTCATGGAATTCACTGGTCTTACCTTGTTCCCCATCATCCTGAAGCAGCTGGATTGATAGGATGGTGTAATGGCCTTTTGAAGTCACAATTATAATGCCAACTAGGTGACAATACTTTGCAGGGCTGGGGCAAAGTTCTCCAAAAGGCTGTGTATGCTCTCAATCAGGGTCCAATATATGGTACTGTTTCTCCCATAACCAGGATTCATGCGTCCAAGAATCAAGGGGTGGAAGTGGAAGTGACACCACTCACCATTACCCCTAGTTATCCACTTGCAAAATTTTTGCTTCCTGTTCCTGTGATATTACATTCTGCTGGCCTAGAGGTCTTAGTTCCAGAGGGAGGAATGCTACTACCAGGAGACACAACAATGATTCCATTAAACTGGAAATTAAGATTGCTACTAGGACACTTTGGGCTTCTCCTACCTTTAAGTGAACAAAAGAGTCTAATTAGAACAAAATTAGACCTATTTTATTAGTTCTAATAGAATATATATAAATTATATATATTATATAAATTATAAATATATAATAAATTTTATAAATATATAATTAGTTCTATTAGAACTCTAATACTACAGTGGTCAAGATATACTACACTTTGCTCTTATATCATTTCTATATGGGATAGGAGAGCAATGACTTGACTCTGAAAGCTCTATCTATTCCTTTGGTAAAATGGAAATTATTCTAGCTTATACATCTCTCTTTGTGCCAGCTGAAACAAATTTGTGTCCTATGGTGCTAAAACTGAGCCACTGAAGGCTCATTTTTTCTTCTGGATTCTAGTTTTATGATAGCACCAAATAAACTCACTTCTCTTTAAAGCCCGAGATCACATGGATGGATTGGATGTGGTGCTTTGGCACTGGGCTAAACAGGGTTACTTTTCTGGATGTATGTGCAGTCCCAGATGATACTGACTTGCTACCTGGTTCATTATGTTTCAGAAGTAGAAAGAAAGCCGGGATCATTCTAAACAGTCTTCTCTGGGTTTTTATTTATGTGACAATAGCCAGACGGTCATATGAAGAAGAAACCATGGAATTATGGTAAACAGCCCTACTTGAATGTCAACCAGAAGTTGATAATAACAGCAAATGTTCATTCTTTTTAAATTAAGGAAGGTGTTTCTGGGAGTAAAATGAGGCCCATTTATTTTAGTTGCAAATAGTAACCGCTTCTTTGAAATAACTAACACACAATATGGCTTCTTGGGGGTGTTATCCTGGTCTTCATTCCTCTCACTGTAGCTTTCAAAGAAAATTCAATCTTTGGAAGAACTTTTTCATTATTATTCAATTCTTGGTGCTGGTGATCCCTGAAGGTAGGCTACCTGATGCTCTTAAAGTGGTGGTGCGGCATCATGACCAAAAGAAGCAGCTTGCCACTAAATTGCATCCACTCCTGCCTCAGGTGGATAATGACTGAATCAGATAAACTGCATCTTGTGGGGAGAAAGAAATGGAAATAAATTTGGATGTGAGAAGGTACAGGAAGAAATCCTCCTCAATGATGCATTTCAATAGGGTGGGGTGGGACTGGGTTTTTGTAGCCTAGGTATGGGAGAAAATTCTCAGTGTTTTTCAAAATAAGAGAATTAGGATGCTTAAAAGAAATAATGGGCAGGGCGCGGTGGCTCACGCCTGTAATCCCAGCACTTTGGGAGGCTGAGGCGGGTGGATCAGGAGGTCAGGAGATCGAGACCATCCTGGCTAACATGGTGAAACCCCGCCTCTACTAAAAATACAAAAAAATTAGCCGGGCGCGGTGGCGGGCGCCTGTAGTCCCAGCTACTCAGGAGGCTGAGGCAGGAGAATGGCGTGAACTTGGGAGGTGGAGCTTGCCGTGAGCCGAGATTGCGCCACTGCACTCCAGCCTGGGCGACAGAGCAAGACTCCGTCTCAAAAAAAAAAAAAAAAAAAAAAAAAAAAAAGAAATAATGATTTTCTCAATTATTATCAGAGGCTTATAGAGAGCCTTAGTCTTTCTGGGTCATCTATCTTTCCCATTATTAACACAGGGGCTTATTGAAGGTCTGTACTAAAACAGCTGAAAGGATCTGACCGCAAACTGTACTTTTTTTCTCTCTCTCCCCCATAAAAAAAGGTTCTTCTGTTAGAATTCTAGGCATGGCACACAGTACTGGGAGATAACACAAAGAGTCAGGTGGAAACTATTCTGTTTAATCAAGAATGAACTAAATGTCAGAGACTCAATGTTCTAGATCAACAATTTCCAGGATTGATATATCTTAATCAAGTAATTAGGTGACTTTTTCGGTAGTGTTTTCCACACCAGAGAGAGGAACAGATTTGCCGCTTTGCTCCGATGGCTGCTAGCAGCAGTGTTGGTTGTTAACAGAGACATTTACATGGAACCACCAGTTGGCAGGGCGAACACTTTATTACTTGCTATTCCCACATGCTGAGGATTGTGGGAAGGCTGCCAAGCTCTCTGTCTCATGTAGCTCTTCAGTATAATAACAACAGCAACAAAAAGACTTGGAAAAAACAAAACAAAAAGAAGAAAAGTGAGTAAAGGAAACGATGGAACAAAGTCCCCGGCTTCAGACTAAATATGGATGAAATAAAAGACTTTTAGCGGTGCTTTTCTTTTACTTTCTTTTTCCTCTCCCTCCCTCTCATTCTTCCTTTCTCTCTCTCTCTCTCTGTCTCCATCCCACCATTTAAAAATCATTTTAAATTGAGGCTGATGCTTCTCAAATATTAAAGTCCTTTCAAATCACCTCGGAGGCCTGTTAAACTGCAGGTTTTGATTTTGTAGGTTAAAAGTGGGGCCCAAGAGTCTTCATTAAGAACAGGTTCATGTGTGCACATGTATTCTGTTCTTACCAGGCAGTGGAAACGCGATACGAAACTACTTTTGACTTCTTTATATGCCCACATTCTACCAAAACTCTGTACCTCTGAGTTTACCGATGAGTAAAGAAGGATTAAGAAGGAAACAAAAGAGGACTACGTGTTGCCATATCTTTCCCTTTCCTTGAATTTTATCCTTTTTCAGCATAAATGGTTGGTTAATACAAGAAAATAAAATGTAAGAAAGATCATGAGGGGGTTCCTTATTCATTTATTTCTTAGCGTGTCCCTGACTTCTTTTGGCATTACAAGCAAGTTCTGGTTAGAATATAAAGAGACTCTTGGAGTCAGGGATCCCTATCTCCCCAGCCTGCCTTACCCAGTTGCAGATGTAACATGTTTACCTTATATGCTCTGGGTCTCGCTGAACTCCCCTGGATCATGTGCTCTCCAGAATTCTGGGCCAATGGAGTATCCTGAATGCTCTGTGAAAATGGGTCTGCAAGGGATGGTGGACATGTACATTGTGCATATCTCCTCTGTTCCTATGTGAATTGGCTGAATGTTGGTGTTACCCCCAAATTCATTTATTCATATGACAGGACCCTAATCCCTATGTGTTTGTATTTAGAGTAGGGCCTTTAAGTCATAGCATGGGGCTTTTGGGAATGGGATTAGTGCTCTTGTAAGAACAGCCCAGAAAGCTAGCTTATTCTCTTTCTGCCATGTACATATACAAGGAAAAGTTGGTTGTCTGCAACCTGTAATAGGGCCCTCACAAGAACCGGACCATGCTGGCATCCTGGTCTTGGATTTCCAGAACTATGACAAATAAATGTTTGTGTTCAAGCCATCCAATCTGTGAGAATTTGTTATAGCAGCCCAAACTGCCTAAGACAACATACATGTTCCATGGTCCCAAAGGACTTCACTCCCAAAATACAAGTTCAGATATAAAATTCTTAAGAAATTCAAGACACTAACAGCAGAGCATTAAGCCAAATGTCGGGCACCAGGCAATGTTCAGGTCACAGGTGCATGAAGTTAGGACAGGAAAATGAATCAAGGCAGAAATTGGTCCAAAAAGTTAAGAATCTAACAGCTAGAATTGCACTGTAGAGTTATAATGGAAAGAGATATTAGGTTAATTTAATACTGAGCCTCTGAGCTCAGAGAAACTCTGTCACATGAAGAAAGAGTTGATCTGAAAGTTGGGGTTATATAAACTACGATATTTGGAAATGTGTGGCATAACTGGATAATCTGATGTACCTTGATAATGGCTTTCACTCCATGAGAATTTGTGTAATATTTTTCTTTCATTATAGAAGGAGAGTTGAAAGGGAAAATGATTTTATAGATGAAAAAACTGAGAGCTAGTGGGATTAAGTGATTGACCTAGGTCACAAACCTTGTTAGTAACAGAGCCAGGATTAGCTTAAATTTTTACAAAACTAATTCAGTGTCCTTTTGAGTCCGCCACACTAGTTCCTTCCATACCTCACCAAGATGGCAAGAGGTCTCTACTGGTAATGCTGAAATATGATTAATGGCTGTAAAAACAATGAGAGGAAAGTAAAGAGAATATAAACTGTTCCATTACACTCAAATATAGGAATACCTCATTTTATTGCATTTTGCTTTATTGCTCTTTGCAGATATTGTGTTTTTTACAAACTGAAGGTTTGTGGAAACTCTGCTTCAAGCAAGTCTATTGGTACCAATTCTCCAACAGCGTGTACTCACTTCTTGTCTCCATGTCACATTTTGATAATTCTGGTAGTATTTCAAACTTTTTTTAATCATTATTATATTTTTTTGGTGATCTGTGATTGGTGATCTTTGCTGTTGCTATTGTAATTGTCCTGGGGTGTCACAAATCACACCCATATATGACGGTGAACTTAATGGATAAATGTGTGTGTTCTGACTGCTCTACTAACTGGCCACTCCTCTATCTCACTCCCTCTCCTGGGGCATCCCCAGTCCTGAGACATAGTGTTAAAATTAGGCCAACTAACAACCCCACAATAGCCTCTGGATGTGCAAGTGAAAGAAAGAGTCACACATCTCTCCCTTTAAATTAAAAACTACAAATGATGAAGCTTAGTGAGGAAGTCATGTCAAAAGCTGAGATGGGCCAAAAGCTAGGCCTTGTGTGCCAAACAATTAGCCAGGTTGTGAATGTAGAGGAAAAGTTCTTGAAAGAAATTAAAAGTACTATTCCAGTGAACACACGAATGACAGGAAAGCAAAATAAACATATTGCTGATGTGGAGAAAGTTTTAGTGGTCTGAATTAAAGATCAAACTAGCCACGACATTTTCTTGTTTTGTTGAGACGGACTCTTGCACTGTTGCCCGGGCTGGAGTGCGGTGGCACTATCTCAGCTCACTGTAACCTCTGCCTCCTGGGTTTAAGAGATTCTCCTGCCTCAGCCTCCCAAGTAGCTGGGATTACAGGGCGCCTGCCAGCATACCCAGCTAATTTTTTGTATTTTTAGTAGAGATGGGGTTTCACCGTGTTGGCCAAGCTGGTCTTGAACCCTTGACGTCATGATTCGCCCGCCTCAGCCTTCCAAAGTGCTGGGATTACAGGCGTGAGCCACTGTGCCTGGTTGGCAGAACATTTTCTTAAGTCAAAGCCTAATTCACAGGCTCTAACTCTCTTCAATTCTGTGAAGGCTGAGAGGTGAGAACGCTGCAGAAGAAAAGTTGGAGCTAGCAGAGGTTGATTCATGATATTTAAGGAAAGAAGCCATCTCCAAAACATAAAAGCAAGTGCTGATGGAGAAGCTGCAGCAAGTTATCCAGCACATCTAAGATAATTGATGAAGGGGGGTACATTAAACAACACATTTTCAATGTATATGAAACATCCTTCTATTGAAAGATGCCATCTAGGACTTTCATAGCTAGAGAAGAAAGTCCATGCCTGGCTTCAAAGATTCAAAGGGCAGGCTGACTCTCTGGTTAGAGGCTAATGTAGGTGGTGAATTAAGTTGAAACCCATGCTCATTTACCATCCAAAAATTCCTATGGCCCTTAAAAATAATGTTAAAGCTACTCTGCCTGTGCTCTATAAATGGAACAACTAAGCCTAGATGACAGCATATCTGTTTGTAATATGGTTTACTAAGTATTCTAAGTCCACTCTTGAGAACTGCTGCTCAGAAAAAAGAGTTTTTTCAAAATATTATTGCTCATTGACAATGCACTTGGTCACCTAAGATCTCTGACGGAGATGTACAAGGAGATTAATGTTGTTTTCATGCCTGCTAGCATAACTTCCATTCTGTAGCCTATGAATCAAAGAGTAGGTTAGTTTGTTGTTGTTGTTTTGATTTTTATAATTTCAGTGTGTGTTTTAGATTCAAGAGGTACATGGGCAGGTTTGTCACATGAGTGTATTGCATGACACTGAGGTTTGGGGTGTAAATGATCCCACCACCCCAGTAGTCAGCATAGTACTCACTAGGTAGGTTTCCAGCCCTTGTCCCCACTCTCCCCTTAGTAAACTCAAGTGTCTTATGGTCCCATCTTTATGTCTGTGTGTACCCAATGTTTAGTTCCTACTTATAAGTGAGAGCATGCTGTATTTGACTTTCTATTTCTGTGTTAATTTGCTTAGGATAATGGCCTCCAGCTGCATCCATATTGCTACAATGGACATGATTTGATTCTTTTTCATGGCTGCATAGTATTCCATGGTGTATATGTGCCACATTTTCTTTTTCCAATCCACTGTTGATGGGCACCTTGGTTGATGCCATGTCTTTGTTATTGTGACTAGTGCTGTGATGAACATGTGTCTTTTTGGTAGAACTTTATATTTTCCTTTGGGTATACACTGAGTAATGGAATTGCTGGGTCAAATGTTAGTTCTATTTTAAGTTCTTTGAGAAATGTTCAAACTGCTTTCTGCAGTAGCTGAATTAACTTACATTCCTGCCAACAGTGTATAAGCATTCTCTTTTCTCCACAGCCTCACCTGCATCTATTATTTTTTGACTCTTTAATAATAGCTAGTTTGACTGGTGTTAGATGTTATAGTGTAAACCTAATTTTCATATGCACTGAGAAGCCAAAAAATTCGTGTGACTTGCTTTATTGTTATATTAGCTTATTGCAGTGGTCAGGAACTGAACCTATAGTATTTCAAAGGTGTGCGTGTGTTGTAAAAAGAGTATTCTCTCTTTCTCTGACATTGGTGAAATGGTTTCAGAGGGAGTGTTTTCTCTATAAGACTTCCACCGTGGTGTGCTGAATAGTGAAAAATCAGAGGCTATCTTATTCAGAAGCAGTGATTAATTTCGCTTTGTACTGACGATATGAGTAAGGGAAGGTCAGAAAGTCAAATGTTATGTATGTGGTTGCTGACAGATTAATGTGAAATAAATGAATGAAGGCTTTCAATGGCAATGAAGAAGGATTCTAATGGCCTTCTATTTTAAAATGTGGTCAGATAATCTGTCCCTAACATAATAGTTCTGGTTTTTTCCTAAAATCCTTATGAGGACACAGGAAAAAAAATAACAACAACAAAAACTGACAACAAAAATAAAAGCAAAAAGTACCAGTCCATTTTTGCAAAATCTAAGATCAAATTGCGTTAGCTAAGATTACTGTGGAGCTTAACAGAGAATGTGATGAACACATTCCAGAAACCAAGAAAAATTGCCAACCTGAAAAGGTGAACCACTAATTCCACCATTGATATGGTATTATGATGGAAAAGGGGATGAGTGAGATTTTTAAAAAGATTGCAAGAACACAATAAATACAATAGCAGAAAGGTTTTGAGGTTTTGCATTTGTACCATTGAAAGTTAATTGTTTGCTTCATGAATGTGTGCTTGAAGCAACCAGCGTACTCACTCTTATTCTCCTCCCTCACCGGCACCTCCTCGTGTATATTCATTTAGAAAGTGAAACTTACAGGGAAAAACATGAGGTGGAGTATCAACTGGTGTAAATGGGAAACAGGATTAGTTGTAGTATATTGTGCCCTGACAGGTATGGTTCCAGGAAGTAGACCATGGCTGATTAAGATATAGAACAAAAAGAGCATTGAGAGCAGAAAATTGGTCATTTTTGTTTTCTTGCTGTGTATTCAGTAGGCTTAGAGCATGAAAGAAATAGCAGAGATACAATTAACTCCAAATAATTAAACAGAATAACGTTAAGTTAAATGCATACATGATTATAGAAATTTTACTAGGAAGAATGACCACAATTATGTCTTCCAGGTTAAAATTAATAAAAGGATTCTTCCAATACCCAAGATGACATTGAATGGGGACAAGAGAAAGATACAAACCATTTTTATTGGAAAATATCATTTGTGGCTAGAAATCTTCTGATTATAGGATGTATGAAGTAGGAATATGAAATCCATCAAGTCTGGTATCACAGACTGAATGTTTGTGTCCCTGTAAATGTTCCTATGTTGAATCACTGATCATTAGAGAAATGGAAATCAAAATCGCAATAAGTTACCATCTCATGCCAGTCAGAATGGCTTTTACTAAAAAACAAAACCCGGGGCCGGGCGCGGTGGCTCATGCCTGTAATCCCAGCACTTTGGGAGGCTGAGGTGGGCAGATCACAAGTTCAGGAGGTCAAGACTATCCTGGCTAACACGGTGAAATCCCGTCTCTATTAAAACTACAAAAAATTAGCCGGGCATGGTGGCGGGTGCCTGTAGTCTCAGCTACTCAGGTGGCTGAGGCAGGAGAATGGGGTGAACCCGGGAGGCGGAGCTTGCAGTGAGCTGAGATTGCGCCACTGCACTCCAACCTGGGCGACAGACCGAGACTCCATCTCAAAAAAAAAAAAAAAAAAAAAGTAAAACCCAACAGATGGTTGCAAGGTTGTGGAGAAGAAGGAACACCTTTAGACTGTTGATGGGAGTACAAATTAGTTCAACCATTGCAGAAGACAGTGTGCCGATTCCTCAAAGACCTAGAGGCTGAAATGCCATTTGACCCAGCAATCCCATTGCTGGATATATACCCAAAGGAATATAAATCATTCTATAATAAAGATACATGCATACATATGTTCATTGCAGCACTGTTCACTATTCATTGTTCAAGACATTGAATCAACCTAAATGCCCTTCAGTGATGGTCTGGATAAAGAAAATATGGCATATATACACCATGGAATACTATGCAACCATAAAAAGGAAGAAGATTATGTCCTCTGCAGGGACATGAATGGAGTTGGACGCCATTATCCTCAGCAAACTAATGCAGGAACAGAAAACCAAACACTGCATGTTCTCACTTATAAGTGGGAGCTGAATGATGAGAACACATGGACACATAGAGGGGAAGAGCACACACTGGGGCCTTTGGGCAGGGAGCAGGTAAGGGGAGGGAGAGCATCACGAAGAATAGCTAATGGATGCTGGGCTTAGTACCAAGGTGATGGGATGATCTGTGCAGCAAACCACCATGGCACACGTTTACCTGTGTAACAAACCTGCACATCCAGCACATATACCTCGGAATTTAAAACAAAAGTAAAAAATTCCTATTTTGAATTTATAAGCTCCAAGGTGATGGTATTAGAATTTGGGGCCTCTGGGAGGTGAATATGTCATAAGGGTGGAGCCCCTATGAATGGGGTTGGTTCCCTTATGAAAAATACCCCAGAGAGCACTCTTGTCCCTTCTGCCATGTGAGGACACAGTGGAAAGATGACCGTCTATGAACCAGGTAGTGGAACCTCACCAGAAGCTGAATCTACCAGTCCCTAATATTGGACTTCTCACCCTCCAGAATTATGAGAAATGAATATCTGTTGTTTAAGCCACCTAGTCTATTATATTTTTATATAATATTTTTGCAATAGCAGCCTGAATTGATTGAGACAACTGATAAAAAGCATTGGAAATAAAAAAAGAAACATCATTACAAAGATTCAAAACACTGACAATATTTTCACGTATGATTTCTGCTAGTGAAGGCAGAATAAAGTTTTAGGAAACCCTGAGTAGTCTCCATAGAATGTATAATGACACCACTGAGAAATATGTGAGAGGAATTCCAAAGAACAAAGCAAAGAGGTATTATGATGGAAAGGGAGATGAGCGAGATTTAAAAAGAAAAGATTGTAAGAACACAATAAATATAATAGCAGAAATAAAATCTTCATCAAAGAGAGCAAGGAGCCAAATGAATACTCAGCAAGACTGAATTTTTTGATACTGGTGACAAACTGAAGAAGCTCTCCAAGAATTTAGACAATAGGACAGATAGTTTGGAAAAAGGCGAATGACATTGAATAAAAATAACTTACATCATGCCTTTAGAATAGTAATATTATTTAGTAAGAGAAGAAAAAAAGAATTAGTGCAATAATCAATAATATAACCAAAGAAAACATTTTGAGAAAAAGTGATAAATGTTTCCCAATCAAAAGGTCTCCTTACATCCCAAGCAAAATTAATTAAAAAGTAACCAGACAAAAATCCATTAGGACAAAATTCTGAAATAGAGAAATCAAGAGGAAAAATTTTGTATGTATCCTAATGGAAAAATATACTGATAATCTAAAAAAAGTAAAACATGGCTGATTTTAGATCTCTCTTCTAAAACATTATAAGAGTAATTAGAAGGCTATAAGGGCTTCTTTAGAGAATCTACTGAATTTTCAGAAGAAAAGTTTTTATGAAATAATTTAAAAGGCAAGATTTTTTCTTTTGTGAAGGCAATCAAAATATATAGAACATCTGTTTTTGCTATAAGAACAAGGTGATAAAATATGCTACTTTAGTTACCTGGGAAATAACTCAAAAGAGAAAACATGAAATGAACAAATCAAGATATCAAAGAATTGATTATTTAAGCCAGTTCAGTGTGAAGATAATTCAAAATAATTTTTATAAATGCCTTATAAGTATCATAAATCTAAATGTTAAAAATTAATTATTGAAATGGTATTCATACTGTATATAAAAATAACATTTAAAATGTTAAGTAATACATCTAAACACTATAAAATGGGATACAGGAGCTAAAAGGATGTTAAATTCTCCTCCTATGTAGTGTTGTGTTACATAATAAGTTTCATTCTTCTTTTAATATTCAGTGGTAAAGTTATTTCAAAACAATTTTTAAAAAACATTAAAAGCTATAAAAATAATTAATACCAGAAAATCTTCTCAAAAGTTTAAAATTAAACTCATTATAATCCACATAGAAAGTTACTCAAAAAAGACACAGAAAAGACAAAAAAATTGAAAGCATTAACTCAAGAAGCATAAGTCTGATGAATTAAAATACTTTTATAATGATTAAAAGTAAATTAGTTACAGTAACTTAAAATGTATGAGACATTTACTATAACATTTACAATAACATTGAAGGAAGAGATTTGTCATAAGATTTCCAATGTTTGTAGAGTAAAAACTACAAAACATTCCTGAGAAAAATTAAAGAAGACCTAAATATGTAGGAAGGTTATAACTTGTTCATCTGTCAGAAGTCTCAAAATGTTTAAGCTGTCAATTATCCTTAAATGGATGTATGGTGTATGTACAGCCTTACTAAAATCTCAGAGTTGTTTTTCTGGCAGAAATTGATATTGACAAGTTTGTTCAGAAATTTGTATAAAATGCACAGTACCTAGCTAGAGTAGCCAAAACACCTCTGAAAAAGAACAAAGTTGGAGAGCTAGCGTTACATGATTTCAAAACTTATATTGTCACAGTAATCAAGGCAGTGTGGTGTTGGTGTCAAGAAGAAAAATGAATCAGTGTAACAAAATAAAGAGTCTAGTAACAGACTCACACATATACAGAAAACTAATTTTTAGTAATCTAGCTATTAGCAGAAAACATATGAGACTACTTTTGTGACTTAGAGATAGGCAAATATTTCTCAGACAAGATGAAAGGAAAACAAATTGATAAACTAGAATTTATCCAAATTAAAATATTCTTCTTGTCACATATTTCATTAAACATGGACATGCGAGCCTCAGACATACTTGTAGCTCATATGTCTCATAAAATAATCTAACCCAAAGTATATAAGTAACTCCTACAAAACAATAAAAAGCAAACAACCCACTATAAAATAGTCAAAAGACTTGAATATACACCTCTCAAAAGAGGCCAACAAACATAATATGTACTCAACATCATTAATCACAAGGAAAAAGACTATTAAATCTATCATGAGGCACTATGGAACACTGATTAGACTGGCTAAAAGAGAAGAAGCCCGTTAATACCAAATTTTTGCAAGGATGTGGAACACATGGAACTGTAGTACATTGCTCACGGGAGTGGGCCAATCATGCTGAAAAAAAGTTTGGCAGTTTCTTATAAAGTTAGACACGTACTTACCCTTAACCCGGTAATTGCACTCCTAGGTATTTACCCAAGAAAATGAAAAACATACGACCGTACAACATCTTTTACAAGATGTTGATAATAGTCTTATTCATAATAGCCAAAAAACAAAAACAAACCAAATGTTCTTTATCAGGAACATGACTACATAATTTGTGGATTATTCATGTAATATACCAATAAGAAGGAACAAACAATGATCAACTCAACAACATGAAATGATTTCAAAAACATTATATTGAGTGCAAAAAGCCAGACACAAAAGAAAACATACTGTATTATGCCATTCGTTAAAATTCCAAGGACAGGCAAAACTAATCTATAGAGATGGAACTTAAAAAGTGGTTGCCTCTGTAGAATAGGGGTTGACTGAAAAGGAACCCTAGATTACTTTGTCCAGTGATGGAAACGTTCTCTATTTTGATTTGGATGATGTTTGCACACATGCATATGATTGTTAAAAACACCAACTGAACATTTAAGACCTGTGATAAATATTAACATTTTAAAAAAGGATACTAGATTACATTTTTGATAAAACTTTCCCTCTCTCGGCATATGTTCATATGGATACATGTGTGTATTTATCTACATGTATAAATGAACAGTTGTGTGTATATAGATGTATGTATACATACCTATGTACATATATATCTAAATTTGAATGTAATGTCCTGAAGTAATGAAATGGTTACTTTCTGTCAAATAAATCTTGTCCATAAAAATATGCGGGCACAGTAGAAAGACCCCAGATTTTTTGCTGTTATCATTAAAATCCAGGCACCCCTAAATGGAAAGTGATACTTCTCAGTATAAGATAAATGTGTTTTTCTCCAATATTACTTAATAAAATTTTATTTCCTTAAGCAAATTGGGGAAACTGAAATAGGGGAGATTATAGTGTCTGAAGTTAAGTTTATTTTAGTTTAATGGATAATTTGGCTATTTTAGCTTATGGCCTTGCCCATGCAAATGGCCTGGGAGTTACTTTTCTATTTTTACCCATCCTTCCTTCCCTTCTTTTTTTTTTTTTTGCCAAATACGATTTAAAAAATCTAATAAGTCAAATAAAAAAGAGGCAAGTGTATTTTTCTCTGTTAACAACCTCAAGAAATTGTTCTTCTCTAACTAGCAGGGTGTTTTTTTTGTTTGTTTTTGTTTTTTTGCATGTGGAACTTTGTATTTTCTACAGAGAAAGTTAAGGAATGGGGCTGGACCAATTACTCATCCCAAACCGCTTGAATTAGGAATGATGCAGAAGCAAAAATTGGAATACTTTATATGGTAAGAGACAGTAGTCTTTGTAAATGTGTTATCCCTGACAGCCAACACTTATAGAGCACCGGATATGTGCCTCTCATTTAAGTATTTATTTATTTATGATGTTGACTATTTCATTTAATCATAATAACAACTCCAGTGGGTTCTCTAATTTTTTTCAAATACCATAATGAATATGGGGCATATCAAGAAAGTATATAACAAATTGATTAATTCCTGGGTGAGCAATCACCACTTACTACTTATTCAAGTATTTTTTCTTGAGAAAGCCCTAAAAACAATTGCCTTAAACTAACAGAGAAAGCCAAAACAAAAAACCACCACCATGACATCAACAACAAAATGTTTATTCCTTAAAAATACATTTCCAGTGAAAAGTTATAGAGTATATTTTTCCAGTTAAGGGCTCAAACGAACTTCATTCCATATCTAACCATTAGTTGTGCACAGACTGGTAAGTTATCTTCCTCATGTGTGTAATACAATTTTCACTCTGGTGTGATTTTCACTTGCTTCTTTTGTACACAATCAAATCACTCTGCAGATCCACAAAAATAGCTATTTCTTGCTCTGCTTGCAATAGAAAATGATGTGTTTGTAGTTTCAGCAGTGCTCATATTATGTGAGTAATGTCTGTATTTTATCATTCTGGGTGCTTATTAGTAGAGGCAGAACATTCCAATTTGCTTTAAAAAAATTTATAAGGAATAGCTACTCTTTTATTAGAGGAGAGTGAAGAAAAAAGGAGAATGTGGAGACCTTGGTTTATCTCTTTACACAGCGACCTTTCTTGGAGCATCCCTAGAATTAAATTAGATGGTGTAGCTCAGAGAGTCTGTTCTAACGTCTTCATTTAGCTGGTGACTATACAGCTAACCCTCAATTATGAACATGCGCAAAATTACAATCCCCTACCTACCTTGTTTGAGACACTCCTTTTAAATTATCAGAATACCGTTGACCCTTTTACCTGAACACTTAACAGCATTTATGGTTCTTCCTTCATGTGCAGACAGAGTGAACTGTTAATGGGAAGAAAAATTGGTAAAAGTTAAGAAAGAAAGGAAGGGGGAGGACATAGATACATCCTGCACAGTATGCTATATGGATAATGAGTCCCTAAATGTTTTAATTGAGGGTGGACTAACAAAAAAATAAAGCTGATGTTTACCTTTCATTGAGGGAGTATGTTAGGAAAGAAGATGGGGCTAAGTTAAAACTGAGTCCTAAAGGTTACAGCTGGACTCTGGAATTTTGTCACTTTGTCTTTTTGAAGAAAGGGGCAAAGGATTAAACAGGGAAATAATAGGGGAAATCAACAAAATAAATCTGGAGACCTAATTTTTATTGTAAAAGAAGAGGTTGTTTTAGTTTGTGTGTCGTTTATTTTGCTTCTTTAATGAAATCTAATTAAGAAATATGTATTATGAAATACATAATCTCCTGTTCATGAAATCTGTAGAATGTACACTGAAAACTCATTTTTCCAGATCCCAAGAAATATTTGGGTTAGTTAGTAATAGCGGTTTTGGCCATTAAATGTAATGGCAAAACCGTAATCAGTTTGGCCCCAACCTAATAATTGATACATTTCTTTTATCTCATATTTCTTTCATGTATTTCTAACCTCTATATTCCTAATTTTGATTCTATACTATGACAACTAATAAGAGAAATGAAAGATTCACACACATGATGTTTTTATTTTCATATAATTTGCCAAACAACTTTTCTGATAGACATCTTCACTGACCAGAATATATATTTAATGAACAATTTATTAGTCACTGGCTTTATGTCATATAGACGTAGTCTTGTATCTGTTTCTTCCTCTGAGTCTTAGCTCCCAGAAACATCATACCTCTGGAAAAAATTCAAGGAAAAAGGGACTGGGTTGAAGTCTTGTACTGACACCTTTCAGAAAAGCCATAGTGTTTGTGAATACAGCCATCAGATCATTCTTGATTCAAAAACCACAGATAGGAAGACATGCTTAAAGAGTTTGGGAAAAGTAGAGGAGAGCTCCATAGGCACAAAATTAAATCAAAAGAGATGAAGCAAACCCCACAGAATGAATGAAAGAGATTCAATAGGAGAAACCCACGAGAGAAGCAGTCCATGTTTATATTGTACTTATACTTACCTTGAAACTAAGAGATAAAAATAACATTTTTGGTTTTTGGTCACTCACACCATTTCACTGTCTTTATAGCTCTCGACAGGGGCAACCTTACATATAGGTATAGTGCCAAACTGGCGGGAAGAAAGGGCATTTTGAATGAAAAATCATTTTCTCTAGTTATTTGGGAGTTCATCTATCACACTGTTACCAGTCACACAACCAGGATGTCAGCTCAGGTATCTTCATTTTTTAAAAAAATTTCAATAGATTTAGGGGTACAAGTGGGTTTTGGTTACATGATGAAGTCTGGGTTTTTAGTGTACTTCTTACCTAAATAGTGTATATTGTACCCAATAGGTAATTTTTCATTACTCACCACCCTCCCACTCTCTCTTTTGAGTCTCCAATGTTCATTATACCGGTCTATATGTTCCTATGTAACCATAGCTTAGCTTCCACCTGTAAGTGAGAACATGTGGTATTTGGTTACTTATTAGGATAATGGCCTCAAGTTCCTTCCAAGATGCTCCAAAAGACATTATTTTCTTCTTTTTTTATGGCTGAGTAGTATCTTGTGGTGTGAAATTGTCTTTATCCACTCATCAGTTGATGGGCACTTAGGTTGATTCTATATCTTTGTGATTGTGAATTGTGCTGCAATAAAAACAGAGTGCAGGTATATTTTTGGTACAGTGACTTCTTTTCTTTTGGGTGGCTACCTAGTAGTGGCTCAGTAGTGCTACTGGATAAAATGGTAGATCTACTTTTAGTTCCTTGAGAAATCTCCATTCTGTTTTCCACAGAGGTTGTACAAATTTACATTTGCACCAACAGTGTATAAGCATTCTCTTTTCACTGCATCTGCACCAACATCTATTAGTTTTTGACTTTTTTTGTTTTTTTTGAGACAGAGTTTTGCTCTTATTGTCCAGGCTGGAGTGAAATTGCATGATCTCAGCTCACTGCAACCTCCGCCTTCTGGGTTCAAGTGATTCTCCTGTCTTAGTCTCCCAAGTAACTGGGATTACAGGTGCATGCCACTATGTCCGGCCAATTTTTGTATTTTTAGTAGAGATGGGGTTTTGCCTTGTTGGCTAGGCTGGTCTCAAACTCCTACCCTCAGATGATCTGCCTGCCTTGGCCTCCCAAAATGCTGGGATTACAGGAGTGAGCCATTGTGCCCAGCCAGTTTTTGACATTTTAATAATGGCCATTCTGATTATTTTCACTGGTGTGAGATGGTGTCTCATTGTGGCTTTAGTTTGAATTTCCCTGATGATTAGTGATGTTGAGTATTTTTTCATGTTTGTTGGCCATTTGTGTATCTTTTTTTGATAAATGTCTGTTCATGTCATTTGCCTATTTTTTAATGGGATAATTACTTTTTTGGTTAATTTGTTTCAGTTTCTTGTAGATTCTGGATATTAGTCCTTTGTTGGATGTATAGTTGGCAAATATTTTTCTCCCATTCTGTAGGCTATTTACTCTGTTGATTATTTCTTTTGCTGTGCAGAAACTTTTTAGTTTAATTAAGTCTCATTAATTTATTTTTGTTTGGTTGCATTTGCTTTTGAGGTCTTAGTCATAAATTCTTTGCGTAAACCAATGTCCAGAAGAATTTTTCTTAGTTTTCCTTCCAGAATATTTATGACTTCAGGTCTTACACTTAAGTCTTTAATCTACCTTGAGTTGATTTTTGTATATGGTAAGAAATAGGGACCCAGTGTCATTCTTCTGCATGTGCCTATCCTATTTTCCCAGCACCATTTGTTGAGTAGGGAGTCCTTTCCACAGTGTATATTTTTTTCTGCTTTGGTGAAGATCAGTTGCTTGTAGGTATTTGGATTTATTTCTGGGTTTTCAAATTCTGTTCCACTAGTCTATACATCTACTTTTATATCAGTACCATGCTGTTTTGATTACTGTAGCCTTGTAGTATAGTTTGAAGTCAGGTAATGCGATGCCTCTGGTTTCGCTCTTTTTGCTTAAGATTGCTTTGGCTATTTGGGCTCTATTTGGTTCCATTTGAATTGTAGGATTTGTTTTTCTAATTCTGTGAAAAATGACATTGGTATTTCGGTAAGAATTGCATTGAATATGTAGATTGCTTTGGGCAGTATGGTCATTTTCATAATATTGATCCTTTCAATCCATGACAGCTCAAGTGTCTGAACACAGCCTCCTCTTCTTTGCATTATACTGTGATGCTTTCTGACAAGTACTCCACATTTCTCATCAACAGCCTGGAATTAAGTTATCTTTTTAATTTGTTTGTTTGCTTGTGGGTAGAAGAGGAAAAGGACAAAACAGCAACAGGTTAAGAGTAAGGAATACTGGCATAAGTCTAAGGAATGTCGGACAAAAGAGAGTGGGTACATTTCCCACATAACATCTATCCTACCTCTGTAATCCTCAGTTCTGGGCCCCTGACTGCCCCTACTCATCCTCAACTAGACCACTGAAAGCTTTACTGTGCCCTAGCAAAATCTTCATACTTCTGGTTTCCTGTGCCTGCAGCTGCTATTTCCTCACTATGAAGTGTCCGTCAAAAATTTTTTTTAAGTTAAAGTGGCAGGATAAAGATATATAAGAATAATTCCTCAATACCTCTCTGATATTCTGTGGGCAGATAACTGGCACGTACTTTTTTTAAAATCAAATATTTGTCACAGCCTGTACCTAGCACTTTATCAGCTCCTGAGAGTGACCAACTTGGGCAATATTTAAATCAAGTAGAAGTTGGAAACTGGAGGAAGCATTCTTCAACACTGAATTCGGCAATAGTGTGAAACCTTTAGGAAAATGGGCACTCTTTGAATTAAAAGGTCACTGTCAAAAAGAAAAGATAGACTTATGGTCATGATGAGACCATGAGCTGGACTTCTAAAGTTCATTCTCACCTCCTGCATATTAAGAGAGTAGATTCAAGTATTTGGTCTGCCTATGCAACTCCTGGGGATCAAAGTAGCCTCCTGATGTGTACTAAATAGTTGGGAGGAATAATAATTGGGTGGAATCTATAGCTGACGCCCTGAATGAGAATGAACAGTTTGTTATTGTTTCCTAATGATTCCATCTTTATGCCCATCCTTGGGAGTGCCCTTTTTCCTTTGTAGAAATGAAAAAAACAAAAAACAAAACAGATACTGTAATGGAATGACAAACAGAGGGGCAGGGGGGCAGGAGGGGTTTGCTAGGCTCTGAAATTCTGAGGAGAGAAAATAATGCAACTGTCTTAGTAAATGCTTGTTAACACTAATAATTTAGAGCACAGTTTCACCAAGATTAGTTTGGATCTGTTGTAAGCCTATCTCAGTAGCAGAATCATTTGTACTGCTTGCCTATGGGAACAGCTGCTATTTAGTTTCTTGATTGAAGATTCACACCCTCTTTGCCCTTTCCCCCAGGCTTTGAAACCATCTCACCTGGGCATTGAAATCACAGCCAGATTCTTCATGTTTTATTTCAAGCCAATTTACTGTCCAAACAAGGTCTTTAAAATGTGGCACTGACTGTAACAGTACCATTCATCGTTTGCCTAGCAATGTAAACTGACAGGTTTCTGGGGCCCCTGCCAATCTCGAAGTAGAAGCTCTTGTCACCACAAATAAGGGAAGGTCATTGTACCTCTGGAGCATATCCTGACCCACTCAGGATGTTCCTAGTTCACTGGCACATCTGTCCTTTCTCGATGGTATTTTTCTGGGAGCCCAAAACAGAAATTTGAATGAACCAGAAACTCAGTGTTTGAAGAAAGGTCTCCCGTGAACTGTTGTCCTCATCGAAATGCTAACACAACGCCGGTGGAGAGTCCTAAACTCTAGCAAGAAAGCCAAGAAATGCCTCCACACAAAAGAGGCTGGTTTCAATGGGTAAAGTAGTCCTGAGGTAGGAAGGTTAATGTTCCAAGTCCAGGGGATGATTCTCAAATCTTCGCTGTGCAAGGAACATATTATCTAGATTTCCAAATTGAAGATTCCTAGGCATCAAAGGGTAACTGTTACAAAGATAACCCAAAACTAACATGAACTTCATTTCATGTCTCCTTCCCAAAACTTAAAAATTCCAAACTTGTTACATTGGGATAAATCATGCAGAAACACTCCAGCTGTTCATGACTTTGTGAAAGCTGAATTCAGCATTCTCCCTTTTTCTCCTTTGTTTTTCAGAGAGTCATTCTAAAAAGAACTGTCGATATTGGGAACCTTATCGGTCTCTAATTCCCTCTACATACTTACCTTTTCTTCCTTCACTCCTAATTTTTGCTTTTAAAAAACAACCGTTTATTTCCAACTGCAATATTAGGTTCAATCAAGTTTAACAAACACTTAGTAATCCCAAAGAAAAGTCAAGTTGCTTTTCTGGAAAGCATTTGGCATCATTTGTTTCTCTCAGCAATGGACATAAAAAATATATGTTGGTGGAGATACAGCAGGGTGGTGGAGAGTACATGGCTTTAAAATCAGACAGGGCCTGGTTCAGCCCTAGCTAGATTCAAATCTGTGGCCTTGAGCATGTCACTTATTTATTTTTCTAAACTTCTTTTTATTCAACTATTAAAAGAGGGAAGAGAGACATAATAGCCAAAGAGGGAAGAGAGACCTAATAGCCTAAAAGCGTTGTGAAAATGAAATAAACTAATATAGATAGGTGGCTTATGCCTGTAATCCCAGCACTTTGGGAGGCCTAGGCAGGCAGATCACCTGAGGTTGGGAGCTCGAGACCAGCCTGACCAACATGGAGAAACCCCGTCTCTACTAAAAATACAAAATTAGCCAGGCGTGGTGGGACATGCCTGTAATCCCAGCTACTTGGGAGGCTGAGGCAGGAGAATCACTTGAACCTGGGAGGTGGAGGTTGCAGTGAGCCAAGATCACACCATTGCACTCCAGCCTAGGCAACAAGAGCGAAACTCTGTCTCACACCAAAAAAAAAAAAAAAAAAAAAAAAAAAAAAAAGCAGAAAATACATAATGTGTTTGGCCCATATGGGGACATTTTAGCATCTCTTCCCTGTCTGTGGGGGGATCACAGGCTCTAGATTTCTTAGCATATCCTTGGACCATGGGTTTCAAGCTATTTTTTGTTTCCAGAGGCTGTATTGCCCTTAATGCATGCACACCTTGCTGCTTAACACACTATGTACCGGAGATGAAAGTGGAGCTGCCCTGGATTTGGCAGATTGCAGCTCTGACACGTCAGCCCCTCTGAGACCATTTGTAGCCATCTCTAAGCAACCTACAGGAAACTTGGAGGCTGCAATAAGTTGCGCCAGATGCCACCAACTTGCATGAAAGCAGAATCATGTGGTTTTAGAGCCAGAAGCCACTTTAGATGTCATCTAGACCAGTGGCTTTCAAATTTATTTGTGACACACATTAAGAAATTCTATATATTGTGTCCCAGTGCACACAAACTTATGTGTGCCTGTATGTACATAACTGAAGGAAATTTTAATGAAACAATTCTTACTTTTACTATAGGCAATATACTCTGCTATTTTCTATCGTAGTTCATTTTAAAATAATATTTGTCAGTGCCACTGAATTGATTTCATGACTGGTGATTTTAAAAGCAGTGATCTGCACTCCTCGGCCCATACTGAAAATAAAGACATTGAAATACAGAACTTTTCCTTTTCTGCCTCATGTTTCTATCTGGTCCCGAAACAAAATCTCTGTGGTTTACTTTTACTACTTACAAATGCATATAGTGCCTGAAGGCTTTTGGAGGTCAAATTAACATGTTCTTTATCCTGGGCTGATTTCTAACAAAATTCATGATGCCTAACAGAACAGAACACACTTTATGGGGCTCACACAGTCAGTCCAGCTCTTTAACCCAGATTTAATACTTCCTTTCTGATGTGTCACCAAGCGCTATGGGTGTTCCTTGACCTTGTAAATACTCCAATGATATAACATATCTGAATCATGTTTTCTTGAGGAAAACATTTGGCAACATCCTGAAAACAAGTTCGTACCCTCATTGTTCCTGTGACCACCTGGTTTGATAGCTGAAATAAGATGAATTGAGTAAAATGAATGTTGCTGCAGCTGCTGCCAGCATCACCATGCCAGCTACTGCTAATCCCTGGGCTTCTGCCTCTGCCCAGTGACTTGTCTGTTTCTGCCCCAGCTTGGTGTTCTCAACTTTCCTTTGAAAGTTGCCTTGTGCCAATTAAAAAAAAGTTTTTAACCCTTTTACCCCTAATTTTTGCTTTTAAAAACAACCTTTTATTTCCAACTGTAATATTAGGGTCAATCAAGTTTAACAAACCCATAGTAATCTCAAAGAAAATTCAAGTTGCTTTTCTGGAAAGCATTTGGCAACATTTGTTTCTCTCAGCAATGGGGATAAAGAATATGTGTTGGTGGAGATACAGCAGGGTTGTGGAGAGTACATAGCTTTAAAATCAGACAGGCCTGGTTCAAATCTGTGGCCTTTATTTGTACAATAAACATCAGTTTATTCTACAAATCCATGTGACTTTTGAATTCCACTCCATATACAGCTTGAAATTATTAGTCAAATGGTTTGCTTTTTTTTTTCCTTTTCTTGAATTATGCTTCATGGAACATATATCTTATGTTGTGAAGCATGAGAAATAGGCTGATCTGGGTTCAAATCCCACCTTTATCCTTGACCAGTTCTGTGGACCCGGCAAGGGACTTTATTTCTCAAAGCTTCAGTTTCCTTATAACCAAAGACTAATGATAAAGTAGTTGTGATTATTATATGGAATGGGGAATGTAAAATAGTCAGCATCTGTATGTAGCCAATAAATGTTGATCCTTCACTTGTCTTTTTCCTTTCTTTTAGTGAAGTTGCTAGAGTGAGAAGTGTGAAATGCTATCTGGTCACACTATAATTGTTTTTAATGAATCAGAATGTTAGGTGTTCTGTGCATAAATAGTAAAGTCTTTTGATAGTTTATACTTCACTAAACAGTACATGTAAGTGTGTACTGTTATAAACTGTGATTTCCAGTGACTTCCTTACATTAACATTAGATGGCAACAAAAACTGGCTAATGGGATGGAATTGACAGGCTCATCATTGGTGATAAAATGTCGATTTCAAAGCCACACATATTTTTTCTGGGTAATAATTATTAGGTCTAATAATCCCTAAGAATAGATATGCTTAATTATTCAGATTTAATAATTATTACCCATCAAAATTCCAACTGTGTTTCTGGCACTTACATCTCTACAAGGTGATAGCATGTCAATTCCATCCTGTTCAAGGTGAGTCATCACCTTGTTTTATATCTCACTGGTCTCTGGCTTATAGAGCCATTCAACTGCCTGCCTAGTCAAAAAAGACAATGTAGAGAGAAGGAAAATCATATCTATGTTGCCAGCTGGGTTAACCCATCCACAGTGACTTTTTGAAAAGTAAGTTTCCATGGAAGTAAAATCTTTGGTTCTTATAATGTCAATCACATTGATCTCTATTGTGCTTCTAAGGATAATAAATAATTCAGGGTCAAAGATAGAGTGAAAGGAAGAAGGCTTCTTTTGGCCGTGGTTATATACATTTTCTCTTGCCACTTCCAATGTCATAGAGGCCAGAGAACATGTTGTAGCCTGTGCTCACATGCATATCCCTATAGATGTTGCTCAGAAATTCCATCTTCTTCATTCTTTCCATCTTGTTTCTCAGAGGAAAGAACTTACATTTGAAAAGAGAAGCAAAGATTTTCAAGTCATTACAAGATTATCTTTTTTCCTTTAGTTTTCTATGGATTTCTTTTATGTTCTTTGCTATTGACTGTGTGTTGATTTGTGAGGATCAAATAATGTGAGTGTGAGGACCATTAATTAGTCAATATTGCAAATTCTTGTAAGATAAGAACAGATAATGAAGAAAAGCTAATTCCCTTTGATACCCATATGCAGTAAAGATCTTTGGTGGCTATAAAGTAGATCCCAGATTGTACACACTACAAACGCAGACATCCTGGAAGGCCAGTGGTGGTCTAAGCCCATGGAGCCTCAAGGAAAAGAATAATCTAGGAAGCTTTTTCCAAGAGCATGGCCAATGTGCAGAGAGTGAAATGAAGGAGTATTTTAAGTACATGGTGCTTAGGGATCGTGCTTATACCATCCTCAACTCCTGCCCTTTGCCCCGCAGATTTGTTCTGCAGCTTTAACCTGAGAAGGCTCTGGAAAATAAAAAGAAAGCCAGAGAAAATAAAAAGAAAAAATGAAGAATTTCTTAAGTCTCTGTTAAGACATTGAGAGCTCAAGCAGCTGCCAGAAGAGTGGAAGTCAGGGACATTTCTCATCTTCAGGGAGAGGACTGCTGCGTGTGCTAGAGAACAGGGAAACTGGAATGTGTGGATATCACACAAGGGAGGGGACAGCAGCCCAGGCTGTACACAACCATCGATGTAGCCATAGAGCCCCACCTTCATGTAAAGAGCAAGAAAGAAGAGCGTGGGAAGCAAAGAACTTTGTCTCTCTTGCTGGTGCTCATGGGAGCCAGGATCAGCATCCATATATGGTCATGCCAAACTAAAGATTGATGGCAAGACCTAGAGAGGAGGAGACAGTGGCAGGGGTGAGTTGTGGAGGGAAGGGCATAACCTATATCACTGGTAGAAATGTGAATTTCTTCCTGGTTACAGAAAACTATTCTGGAAATATCTGTTTAAAACAATACACATACCTATTGACCTAGCTATCTCCTCTGGGTCTTCATCACATTATAGAAATAAAAGCACTGGTATATAAGAATATTAGAAGTTTAGAGTAAAAAAAAGTTTAGAGTAAACTTAGAACTAAGAATTTTAGGAAAGTAGAAGAAAAATGTTTATTATAGCATTGTTTGTAATGACAAGAAACTGTTAAATATCGGAATACTTGTGATTAGAAGAATGGTTCAATAAACTGTGGTATATTTATATAATGAAATGTTATGGAGCTCTTAAAAAGAATGAGCTATATCTAGATTCATTGACTTGGAATTATCCCCACAGTGTACTGTTAGATGAGCAAAGGAAGACAGAGAAAAATATACAGTATGATCTCTTAAACAAAACCCTTAGAAAAGAGTCGATAAATGTACATCAGTGTATATGGGAAACTAAGAATATGGAAAAAGGTGAGAAGAAGATACATATGAGGCTATTTATTTTGGTTTCTTTGGTAGGGTTGGAAAAGGTAAAAGGTGAAAATAATTTTAAACTATTTTGCAAAATAAAACAAATATTAACAGAACATGTAATCTATTAAAATTTTTATGATACTACTCTATGTGTATGTTAGCAATTGATGCCTAACAAGCACATCAAAATTTAATGGCTTAAAAAATCCACTTAATATTTCTCACAAGCCTGTGGGTGGGTTTGGTGGTTCTGCTTGTCTGGATAGGGCTCAGCTAATCTCAGGTGGGCTCAAATAAAATGAATGAGGTTAGACACCTTCAGAAATGATTTCTAAGTGACTTAATTTTAGGTGTTTCTCGTCTCCTATAAGAATCCCTGGGAATGTCACATTTCAATACTTGATACCAGGGTGTCTACTACTACCACCACAACTATTATTAATTGGTAGTGGTTTTTCTCTTACAGTTGGAGTTTCACTTTCATACCCTTTCATGATCTTTGCCAATATTCTCTATTCTATTTCCTCTCACTCTCCTTAGTTGCCTTAGGCACCACTTTTTCCCCTTCAAATGTACCAAATAATCTCACGGTTACTTCTCACTACAGTAAAAGTAATATCTGCAATTGAATTATCACCTTAGGAAAATGTCCAGTGGCCTTTTATTTATTTATTTATTTTTGAGATGGAGTTTCGCTCTTGTTGCCCAGGCTGGAGTGCAATGGCACGATCTCGGCTCACTGCAACCTCCGCCTCCCAGGTTCAAGTGATTCTCCTGCCTCACCCTCCCGAGTAGATGGGATTACAGGCATGCACCACCATGCCTGGCTAATGTTGTATTTTTAGTGGAGACAGGGTTTCTCCATGTTGGTCAGGCTGGTCTCGAACTCCTGACCTCAGGTGATCTGCCTGCCTCGGCCTCCCAAAGTGCTGGGATTACAGGTTTGAGCCACCACGCCTGGCCATCCTTTTTTATGCTTGGGCAGTTATGAACATAGCTCTTATTCTTTTCCTGTGCCTCAGAATCCCTGTTCTTGGTAGCCTTACTAAAGTAGATCAGGTTGTATTCAAAAACTTCCAAAATGCCAAACCAATGACCTTGTAATCCAAATCACTTTGCTTAAGGAAAACTAAAGACCAACTTGGACACTTAAATGCTTCAAATACATCTTAGTGGGAAAGTGTGCAACCTGGCCCAAGTTGGTGTTAAATAGATGTTTAGTTTTTACCCCTCATCATTGGCTAAGTATCCTGCTATCACTTCCCCTGCCACCAGCAGGTTTTCCCTGCTGGATTCTTGTCTGCCCAGGGTAGCAGAAAAACAGAACACAGTTTCTAACTTCTTCTCTCTTTAAAACTGGCACTGCTACTCCTTTCTATTTTGGGGAATTTTTACTGTAAGTAAATACAACAAAACCAAGCAGCAGCAAACAAGAAACAAGCACTGAGACAGTGATAAAGGTTTCAGAAATCTCAAAACAGAAACTGTGAATTGGTTCCTTGGTTCTTCTTGAAATATAAGCCTATAGCCCTTATTGAAATACAAGAGTACAGCTCTTTCTCACAAGCTAGTCTCTGACTCCTTTTTTACATACTTCTTATGTCTCTTTGGGTCCTTTGGGAAAAGGATGCAAAAGCAGAATCTGAAAAGATTTTTGAAAGAAATGTCTGTGAAGGTTAAAGAGTGGAGGGATCAGGAGGTAGAGGGTGAGCTTCAAATGGTAATGCAGGTCTGCCATCTGTGAAAGAAGAGAGGGAAGGAAGAAGGATGGGTAGAAAGAGCCTCAGGTTGCAGCACTGCTCCAAAAAAGTCTCAACCAAGCTGATGGGAATCCCTAGAGCAAAGATTGCACATTGAAAGAATCCTGCACTGGGCAGAAATGGCCTGCCTCTGGCACTCACTGCCCCACCACCATCATCCTTAGTCCTTGGCTAGAAGTTGCCTGGAGAGAACTTGGCCTCAACGTGAAAACTATGGCAGGTCTTGAAGGTGCAGCAACTTGAACCTGTCCACTCATTACACTTCTCATAACAGGTTTGTTCTTCAATGGAGATGTGGGCAGTTAACTTCTATGGCAAAACAGCCTATCCCATGAGCCACTCAGCTCTGCTTCCCCACAAATCCACATAGCAGCAACTCCCTGGCTTCTGTGAGCCCCTTTTCCTTCCTCTTTTCATGAAAGAAAATTTAGAAAAGGGAAGATAGTAGGGCAAACTCCAGCCCTTGTAGCTGCCAGTAGTTTAAAAAATGCAACTGGTACCCATCATTTCCCTACTCTACTACCCACTCTTCATTCTAAACACCCTTCACCCTCAGCTATCACTTCCACACAATGGCTTAGCTGGTAGTATGATCTAAACCCTCCTTCCTAAGGAGTCTAAGCCCTTATGGCTTCTCATACCCATCCCAGTTCAGGGTTCATGCATATGTTCATCAGGTTACAACTTGGCAAAGGAGGATTGAGAATATCCAAGTGGATAGCCTGGGTGCCACATGTTCTTCTCTTTGCCTCTGTTATTTTACAGCAGCTCTATCTCCTCCTACCTCTGCCAAGATGGCTAGTCTTCATTCTTGCTGGTCCCTGTATACAAGAATGTCAAAGTGCCCAGGCAGCATCTGAACCTGGCAGTTAACAGTAAACTTGTCCCCTGGCAAGATTACACCTTTTAGAGGACCAGAATATTTATCCCTTAGGAACTCAGAGTAGCAGGAATGAGAAGCACAAAGTGCCTCCAATAGGTCATTGTGAGTGGAGCCACTCCATTCCTTGGTTTGAAAAGCCTTGCATCCTTTTTTTTTTTATAGGTATGTAATGGTTATGGAGGTATCCAACTTAGTGTGTATACTCATCCCAGAAGATAGCAACTTATTCTTGCAGAGTATTGGCTCTGAGCTGGTGTATCAATCATGCCTCAAGCAAGCTGTTCTAATGCCCTATCAGGTTATCTGCTTTTGGATGTTGTGATTTGTGATACGATCAGTGGATCCCATTGTCATGGCCCACGCTCACACTTCCTTCACTATGGTAAGGGTCCTCTGATCTTACGCCGTGCTGTGTGGGATTTCATGCGTGTGAATCAGACATTCTAGAAGCCTCTGATAGTGGTGTTGGCTGAAGCTCTGCTGGTATGAAGGGTGAAATTGTGCTTAGTATAGCTGTCTAGCCCTGAGGTGGTATGTGCCAATGTAGTTAATATACCACAAAGCAGCCAGTTGGTCTCTTCAACTTGTGCTGTACCAGCAACTCAGCATTGGTCTCTGCAGCTAGCAGAGGCAGTTTTACCTGAATTGGCCTGAAAAAGTCTAACAGACCCAAGCATATAAGCTGTCTCTGCCTACATGGCCATTTGATCACGTGCCCGTTGTGCTGCTTCCAAAGTTTCCACTACCAGAGGCTGGCTAGTGTGAACTGAGTCATTTTGCCTACTTGGTTCCTCAGTGCCTCTTTTGTGGTGGGTGCTTTCTGGTGGAAAGTAACATGCAACAAATCATCTTCACACTTTATGCCCACTCCCATGTACCCATTCACATGCCCCTACCCTGGACCTCCTGGTCTCTAATCTTGCAGACTTTTTCTGCCAGGGTCCTGACCAAATGGCCAGGCTATTGATCACTGCCCTGAAGTCTGTATGTGTTTTTTGCTTTGGGCCACTTCTTTACAAAATGAATGGGCAGGTTCACCACTTGCAGCTCTGTTAGCTGGAAAGAGCTTCCCTTTCCACTGCTTGGACGGCCACATCTGGAAGCTGCTATTATGCAGCCACCATCTATTTCCAGCTTACACAAATATACCAGGCTGATCCATTCATAAAACAAACTGAGGCTTTTCCCTTTTCTTACACCTCATCCTATGAGGACTCCCATACAGACATAGGTGTGAGTAGGGGGAGGAGCAATAGTAGTGATTGAAGTGAGAGTCTGTGCTATCTATCCTTGCAACTAACTTATGCCTTCTGGTCTTGGACAATGGATTGTTTCTGAGTAGTTTATCTTTATGACTTGGTGGGTTTGATGAAACCTAGCCCCTAATGGGAAGTTCCAGATACATGTTCACTTGGTGCTCAGTGGTCAAGATTCTTTCTGTGTCTGGGTCTAGTAACATGCCAGGAGCTGTTTCTCAAAAGGTATTGAATTCTCCGCTGCAGATGGCACCTTGCTCCAAAAAACCGAGGGGCCTGAACTTATGATCCCTCTCACTGTGGTTTGCCATATGCTCCACACTGCGTCTTATCCCACCAATGACACCACCAACACAATAGGTCTATAGAATAATATGGCCCAAGAGTCAGAGCTCCTTGCACTGCATCTGAAACCTGATCCAGAACTCTTTTCTGTTTTACATAACTCTCAAATCTGGCAGACTTCCATGTTACCTGGCATATAGGCTGGACGAGCATCGTAAGTGTAGAATGTGTTCCCTCCGAAATTCAAACAACCTTTTGTTCAGGTATCGTGCTTTTTTCTTAATGGTAGTGAGTATAAGATGCAGCAAACTAATTATTACTTGGAGGGGATATCTCAGTGTACCCCCTGACTACTGGGCTCCTAAAAATGTTGCTGAAGAGACAGGTCCTTGAATTGTTGTAGGGTTTATTTCTCTCTTTGTGGAGTGCATGACTCCTACTAATGCAAACAGCACATTAGCCAACTGTGACTTTTGCTTCTCTATCAGCATGATTTGATGGATATAATGGATCGTTGTGATGTTCTGCTAGATGTCCACACACTCTAGAAGTTTTGGACTATGTTAAAATAGTGCATAGGAAAACGAATATGGAGTTGGGTGTAAAACTGTAAAAAATATAATTCCCTGTTGCATGTGAATACATGCTCTTCCTTATCCTTCCCTGAAAGGAATACATTCACCACATCAGTGGCAAAAGATCATGATGTTTTATTGGGATAAATGTCCTTTTGCCTCCTGTTCCCTGATTCTTTCCTACTGAGGATTACAGATTTGAACAGCACCCTTGATGGCTGCTTGTCTATTTCACCCCTGGTGACACTATGCTCTGTTAACCATCACCACAATTTCATGTGGGTCAAGCTTGCTTTGCTTCCCCTCATATTGGCTCACCCTTCCCTGGGAGAACATTGCCTCTGCATAATCACTGCAGCAGATCCTGAAGGAGTGGACCTGGAGGTTGTCAGCCAGGTTGTCTACTCCTCACTGCAGGTTCTTTTTTCAAGGGAGCTCTGAGTGGTTCACCTCCATGGCTGCTGAAGACCTGCAGAAGTCCCTTGGAGTCTTTTGGGGTCTCCCCATCGAATCTTCTTCAATAAGTACAAGCTCCTCAGACTGTCTGCATTAGATTCAAATCGATACTTCAGCAAGTTCTGGAGAATGTCCAATACCTTCAAGAACTTGTTTCCTAATTTCTTTCACTAATTAAGACATTCTATTGTGAACCCCCAAAGACTCCCCCAGGTCATCCACCACCCTGGTACAGGTGTGTTTACTGCTCCTGAAGCTCTCTTGGGTCCCAGTTCCTAGAAGTCAGGCAGACAGAGCTTGGCTTGAATACTAGCTGTGTGGTGTGATTCTCAGGAAAACATTTATCCTGTGTTACCTTAATTTTTTCCTTGGCAAAATGTGAAATATATTCCTTACCTCATAGAATTATTATAAGGATTAACTAAAATAACATTTGCGAAGTGCCTAGCACAGTACCTGACAGAGAGCACCCATTCAAACATTCATTCTCTGAACCCTCCCTTGCTTAGATTGCCTAAAAGATATTTCTCTCTCCCATTAAGTCTGATTCTGCCTTTTCTTGGGGAAGCTTGGCATCCTTATCCACCTTTTTAAGGTAATATCCAGAACTATTAACTCTACATCAGCCCCCTTCAAGAGCTCCTAGCTGAATTCTGTCTTTTCCTGTTTAAACTTGCTTTCTCAGTTGAATCTATTTCTCCATTTCTGTTCTGCCCTTGAAGAATACCTGTGGAGATCAGCTCATTTTTGTATCAGGGAAAGTTGATCTCACATTCTAGACAAAGAGTGAATCCCTCTGACTTAGGTCACCAACTCAGCCCACATCCGCATGTTCTCAGATTTCTCAGTTCAGTAGCCACAACAGCCTGCCTACTGTCTCCCACCCCTCCAAATGGATGCAAAATGTAATGTTAAAACACTTTAAACGTACTGAAACTACAACAGTAATTTCCTTTCCTTTCCTTTCCTTCCTTTTTTTCCCAAGGAGAAGCTTTGTTGTTTCTTAACTCGTTACTCCTCATGCTTACCTTTCAAAATACACATGTTCTAGGCATATGTTAGTGCAAACACACAGACATACTGACTTTAAAAAAAGGCATAATTTTTCACTCCTTGACGTCTGTTTATGTTGGTTAGACACACAATCCTTCTGTTTGTGTTTCTGTTTAACACTTGATTGTGTCAAAACCTGTCTGTGTGCCCCTTAATAATTGGTGGAAATTGTTACAGACAAAATCCAGCATCAGTTAGCCAGGACACTTAGGAACTCTGGCTGGGAGGAATTGGGAGTGGTCTGCTGAATGCGGCCATCATTTATTGAGTTGGTGGGGGTGGGAGATAGACAGAGTGATCTTTTCTCAGGGCCATCCCCCTCCATTTTGTTCCTATTCTTTCTAATTCCTTCAAAAAAATCAGATCAGCTTTTCTTTCAAGACTCAAGTAAATTTTAAAAAGTCAGGATTGATTTCTTACTGTGAACAAATTGAGGCATCAAAGTAAAGTTAAGAGGTTCCTTCCCACTCTGTTCTTCTGCGGCTGCTCTGGTCGTATACATTTGAGGACGGTAAATATTATCATGGAGACTTAGCTGTGTTATTATAAGCTTACATTTTACATATGCTGATTTGGGAGGACCTAAATTTACTACTGTAACATGGCATCACCTCTGGCTTTTACACACAGAGAGTGGCACAATTTTCTTCCATTTTCTTCATGTATATGTTGAAATTCTATTCACAACCATCAGTAATTTACATATACATATATTCAAATGGTTGTTAGATTCTTTTCACAGCATTGCATTTTATGAGCAGGTTACCATCATCCATATTTTATTGCAAAGAGATTACCACTATTATTAGGTATTTTAAAATGTAAGCAATGGTTATTTTTAAAACAGAAAAAAATTAAACAATGTAAAGCACAAAAAAAAAACAACCCATCAAATTCAGATGACTGGAAATATGGCTGGAATGCTACAGCTCTTGTTGAAACCCAAGCCTTTAGCAATGATTGCATTGCCTTTAAGTCTGTAAATGACAGCCTCTCAGCAGGCTGCTCTATTCTGATCACCCTCACATTCTCTCTCTAATTGGTTGCCCCTGAACCCCTCCTTAGAGACAGCCTTGTTAGCTCATGGGGAAAGAATAGTACAGGCAACACATCAAAGGGTTGAATATGGAAAAAGAATGAAAAACCCTAACAGCCTGCTGCATCTAATAATTGAAGAGTAGGAGAATCTTTATGTGTGTGTGTGCATGTGTGTGCACATGCACACAGCAGCCTGTATTTTGAAGATTGCCAAATAAGGGGAGCACAGTTAGGTGGAAGAATAGAGATACTATTGAACAAATGCTGTTGAGTGAATGCACACTGGCAGAGAGCACATGTTTCACAGAACAAGTTCCCAATCTTCAGGTGAATTCTGTCACTGCTGTAACAAACTCCTGTGCAATTATTGCCTAATCATAATTATCAATGGACTTGATCATTACCGTCTAGGGCCTCTGAGGCTTTGGCTTTTGTCTTTCCTTTAAAGTGAAGGGTGTGATGGAGAATAAAAGCATTTGCATTTGGAACTCCAATTTCCAAGGGAATTTGAAAGCATTGGAGAGTGTAAAGAAAATTCTTCTTGGAGCCAAGGAAAACTGGGTTTGATCACAAGTCTGTGGATTCTTGGCTGTGTAACATTGGGAAAAACTATCAATGTTCTAATAATTAGTTGGCTCGACCATTTAATGGAGATACCTACTTCATGTGGTTATTTGGGATTCAATACATTGATATGGCAAGTGCCATACATGCTGTAAGAAACATTCTTGTTTCTCAGTAGACACTTAGTTAGGAGTAGCTACTGCTATTTTTATTTGCTGTGAGAAAATAATTTGTATGCACCAATAAAAGTAGGAACTCCCTTTACCCTGACCTTTTGCCTGACTTTAGGTTGGCTGAACAATTGACCATATCTCTCCCATTCTCTTTATAAGGAGAAGAGGAAGAAATGTCTTCCCATTTTGGCACACAGAACACCAGGAAGAAATGTGTTTAACCCATACAAAGCACACTCCATTGATATGTAGTATATCTCTGTTCCCAGTTGCTCTACTTGTGGGATTCTCTTCTCTTGACCTTTGCTCTAATAACAGAAGTGTGCTCCACTCATTTATAGAGTTTTATCAAAGGTGATGTTTTCCCTCTATAAAGGGGGCAGCTTATTACCATTGTCCTTTAACTATAATAATAGTTTCCCCTTTGAAGCAGATGCTGTTTGCAGCTACATTCTCCCCTTGGGGAGGAAGACACTTATTCCTTTAGCTGACTGCAGTGTTTGCTGCTAATGGTTCACAGCTGAGGCTTTCCCTGGGACTTGTCCTCAGCTAAAAGGAGTTGACTCATCCAATGTTGTGTTGCTCCCTTGTGGTAGCCTTTATTCAATGACTCATGGATGCAAGGTATAAATGGCTGATCCTTTTGCCTCAATTTGGGAAAACTCTGAAGGGCCATCTCAGGTCCAGAACTCCCCGTAAAACCAGACAGTCCCTTTCCTACCAATGTACTAGAGTTTAATTTCTCCCTTTACACTTTTCCTTTTTTTTGAATCCCTGACAGGAGTTCTTCCTGAGATCACTCCTGTGTCAATTAGGGTTCTCCGAAAAGTAGATGTCAAGCTGAAATTAGACGTGCAAATATGTACATATTGGGGAAAATACTTACGAAAAATGAAAAGCAGAGGAAGCAGGAGTCATCAAGAGAGACTTCAAACTGGGCTACAGGTCTGACATCTGTGAAAGGAAAGAAGGAAGGAAGTAGGATTGGGTAGGAAAAACTTCAAACTGCCTGCAGCATAGCTCTGAGAAAGTCTTGATCAGGCTGATGAAGTGAATCAGAACAGTGATTATTAGAGGAGTCCTGAGTCAGGCAGAAATGTCCGGGCTTTAGTATCCCAACTGTGGCCAGTAACTTGACTGGAGAAGCCCAAGGAAATTGTGATCACCGTGTAAACCTTGCAAAAAATCTTAAATTGTAGCATTGGGAAGCTCTCAAACTATTTCCTTGAAGCAGGTTGTCTTGTGGGTAAATCTGTGTGGCACACCTCCATGGCTGCCTAATTTTCTTGATTATATTTCTGTAATGAAAATTTCCATCTCGTTGTCCATATTTCAAGGAACCTAACCTAAGAGAATTGGTGCCGGAAGTGGTCTGAAGAAGCAAATTCTGAAGTGGGGTTTTGGAGCTAGATTATGCGTGGGCCAACTGTTTCTTGGTCTTTTGGCGAAGATCAAGTGTACTTTATGTATGGACTGGCAGGTAGTGAAATCTCATCACTGGTAGTAGGTAGAGTGCTCACAGCCCCTGCCATGTGGTAGTTGTGTAGTTGTGAAAACTTTACAATTTTACATTGGGATGCAATATTGATGGAAGGGAATGCTTGGGCAGATTACAATATTTCAGGCATTTGATAACATGAGGTAATGGTGTTATAAAGACAAAGGACTCAAATGGCTGTTGCTGAGCACAAATTTTGCATTGGAGAAAGACAGTGGAAGGTTGAGAGTGATTAATCACCAGCTAAAGGCAAAGAGTGAAAGTCAGAGGGTCTCTTTGGTAGCACATAAATAGACTTAGCCATATAGCCAGAGGGCAGAATAAGTCAAAGATCAGCCCCAAGACTGAATTATAAGGATAACAAAGCTCTAGAAAAGGTTAAATTCTCAACCATAGCAAAGCTGCTTTCTCAAGGTCATGGCCCTTGTTGGGTCAGAGTAGACCCCAAAATACTTAAATCAAGGCACTCAAAAATATTAAAATCCCAGATACCCATGAAGTCTTGGGGCCAGCAGAAGTGACTCACCCTTCCTATTGAAAATCTTTTTTCTTGAAGACAATGAGGACACCACTGCCTTGCAGGACAGCAACAATCATGTTAGAGTCTATCCCTCCTCATCTCCTCTGGCCACTAGGCAATAAATTAGGATTAAGTCATTATGTAACATCCTGGGAAGTTCTGGGCTTGGCAAGGAAAAATACACATATACTCTGAAAGAGCCACTGGACCTAGTTAACATATACCAGCAAGAACTAGAGAGTATCATGGAACTGAATCCTGAGGGTGCTAAATCACAGGATTAGAACACAAAATTAAATAAGGGAGAGTTTTTATTACTATCATCACACTTTCCTCTGACACAGAATTAACACCCTGGTGAAGTTCCAAGAAATGGTGCTAATACGCTGGTAGGATGGCATGTGGAACTTGGAGATAGCAATAACCCACCCTTAATAAAGTGGGATTCCAGAGCTACCTTGGCAGATGATGGAATAACAGATTAAAAGATTCAAAGCAGCAGACATGCAAGAGTGGATATGCTATACATAGCCTGCAAATCCGTTCGCCAACTACGCTCTGCAGAAGGGCTCGTAGGAGACAACATTCACCGAAGAGGTAAAAAATGTGCTGATGAGAGGGATACAGAATTTTTGACTAGTTCCTGTAGGCCAGGTTGATAGTAGGAAATGTTTCAGAAAGGGGCTCCCAGGAAGCAATGGAGCAGATAGGATGCCAAAATGATAAAGTCAAATGGTAGCACTTAACCATCAGCAAAAAAGATTGGTGTAATCATCTTAATGAATGGAAAGGTTGGAGTGGAGGCTGGGGGCCCTGGACCACAGAAAGTTGTGGAGATTGGATGTAAAACACAGCACCCCAGGGAAAGGATAAATGGCCAGTCAACAAAAGTACAGTTCAGTCTATGAAAAGAAATCAATGACAGGAGACAGGCGGCTGAGGGAAGCTTCCTTCATAACAAGTCATTTGCCTAATTTCCAGACCTGAGCTAGGTTTTAGACTTTGAACCCATTGACTGAGGGAGAGTCTGGATTCCCAGGATGAAGAATTCTGTAAAGCCATGAGAATTATATACAGTAATGAACCTGCCAGTTTTCCCCTAAAGAGTCCTATAGCCATTTACTTGGGTAACCACACACTGAAGAAAGGAGAATACTCACACTTTCCAAGGATTGCTCCCCACAAAGTTCAGGTTGATGCCAATACTGAGGGATCTGAAGAAGCTTCATCATGGCCTCCCTATTAGAGTCAGTGTATATGAGGGCCGAGTAATAAGTGGAATCCTGATATAGATTTGACTTACAGTTGTTCTGGTGATACCCTGCAAAGACGGAGTGCTATATCTACCTAGTGGTCAATTTCTCCAGTCCTTATGTGTATAATTGGAATAGAGATGGTTAGTAGTTGGCAGAACTTGCACATCAGTTCCTTGATCTGTGGGGTTAGAGATACTGTAGAGAGGAAGACCAAGTGGAAGACTCTGAGAATGACCCTCACTCAATCAAGATAATAAATGTTGGGGCAGAGATAGAATAACCTTAAAGACCTAAAGGATGAAGGTTGATGGTATCCATTATATCTCCATTAGTTCACTAGTGCTGAGGGAATGGGCTTGTGTACCAAGGAACCATATTAACAGAGATGTTGGGTTTGCATGAATGCAATAGCATGGGCTCCCACTCATTGAACAGGTTTAACACCTACTACTGCCAGATATCTGACCTACTAGCAACAGAAACCAGTGCTGAGCACCATATCTTGAGGAGAGCAGCCAGCAATTTAGGATTAAGTTGATTACTTTTGGACCCCCTCTACCTTGGAAGAGGCAGTCACTAATCTTGACTGAAACTGGCATATGCTCCAGTTATGGATTTGCCTTTCTTGATTTCAGGGCTTCAGCCAGCACAACATCAGTAGACTTAAAGAGTATTGGATCCACCAGCACAGGTACTAAATAATATCTGATTCAAACCATTCACCCACTTTATAGAAAAAGGAGACATGGTGGTGGGTACATGGCCATGGACCTCCTGGTCTTATTATATACTAAGACATCCAGGAGTTGTAGGCATGACAGAACAGCTTTATGAAGGGACAGCTGAGGTGCTAATTGGGAGGTGATACCCTGCAAAGATGGAGTGCTATTCCTTAAGACACCATAATCTGCCTAAATCAGTAGCCCTTAAATGATGCTGTGTCTTCAGTAAATAGAATATTTGGGCCCAGGAACCAAGGGCATGGAAGCAAGAATATGTTTGTTTATGATCACTCCCCAGGACTCACTTGTGAATTTTTATTTCTCATTGCACATCTGTGAGATTTACAGATTTGGACATGCAGGTTTTCAGAGGGGGGTCATTTTCTCCAGGAGTCCTATTAAAATTTAAGCTATAACTGCTTCCTGGTCAGTCCAGGGTCTTCATGCCGAGAGACTAGCAATCAAGAAGAGGTGTCACATTCTGGCAAAGGCAAATGATCCTGATCCTCAGAAGATATAGTATGGCTGTTATAAAATTGAGGTAGTTAAGAATACGTTGGGCCTGTAGGTAATCCACAGGTACTTCCTGGCCAAGTTTTGATGTTTAAATAATAAAATCAGCAGCCATGGCCTTAGAAAGCATGATAACCAGGGACTCACTTCTCAGGAATGAGGGTCTGTGCTACTCCATCAGGTAAGCCATCTTGAGAAGCAGTGGTGCTAGGGAAGGGTGGAAATCTAGCATCAGAAGAAGAGGAACATCCTGAGTGATAAGGAAGTAGAGGACAAGCTGCAGCATGAAGGACTATAGTTCAGCTCACTCACAGTCTTCTTAAAACTTTCCCCAATATACAAGGCCATCCAGAATCTTGAAAGAGCTGCCTCCAGATGGGATAACGTTATTATACAAAGCAAGTTGATCTGAGTGGCATAAGTAGTGGTTTAGAGTGAAAGTTGTGGTGAGCTACCCAAATCCCTTCTGGGATTGAGGTGCTCATTTCTCCAGCTGCCAGGAGTGTTAGCATCTGATAGATCACAGTGGAGTCCCTGCCTGGGAAATACCCTTGGCTGATGGGAGTTGCCATTCTCAAGATTATGACTGCATCCAATGACTAGTTGTTGTGGGGGGTACGAAGTTCTCACTCTCTTTACCTCAATTCAGGATAATGCTGATGGGGCATGCCAGCTTCAGAGCTCCCCATGGGATTAGCTGAGACTTTTCTTGCAGCTGCATCATAGTTCTATCTTTTTCTCCGTCCAATTCTGCTTCTTTCACTTTCCTGTAGGTACTTGTCTTGCAAGAACTCCCCGATAAAACTTCTGCAGACAATCTCCATCACAGAGCCTGCTTCTGGATAATCTAACCAAGAAAATTCTGCTATCATTTGTCTCTACTTCCTTTTTGGTTTCTTTTCTTATTCTTTTTTTTTTTTTCTTGAAACTAAAGGGAGATAATTTAAAACATGTATTTCTTTTTGTCATATGTACAAGGGCACTAATAGTCCATATATGTGGTAGCAGCAGTGAAGAGGACTTCAGAATAGGCAGAAGAGTGGGGTCAAGTTACCACAGAAATAACAAACCATGCATTTATTGAGGGAAATCTGAGTTGGAAAAATAGTTTAGGGAACCACACCATTTGAAAAACATTTCTAAGTCAGAAATGAAACTTTGGAAGCCTCTGAATACATCCAGACTAGCCTTTTGATCATCATCCATGCTTTAAACTCTTTGTGCTCACCTGCCTGCTCTAAGATAGACAGATGACTGCCAATTGTCAGTGGGTTCCATAAGAATATTAGTGAGGTTGAGGCTGCTGAGAGCTCAGAAGTATTTACAGTATCTTTCATTGTCTCTCCCCTGCTGCAGTATTTTTGTTATTAAAATTTTGTTTTAGTGCCATTTTCCATGCTAGAGTTCAAGGAAAATAAAAGTTAAGATCAGAAGACCTGGTTCTGGCCTGTGTTCTGTTACTATTCTGTTGTGTTGTGAAGATCTCCCAGCTATAATTTTCACATCTATAAAATAAAGGCTGTACCTATAACACTGGTCCTTTCAGAATCTGTTAAAAAGCAATGGGCCCAATCTCTCCCCAGAAAAAAAATGTGCAGACATTGTTTTATACATATTTATCTCCTCTGAACTCACCTTGTACATAATCATATCTAAGATGACTTATTGTTCTCGTATCTATAAAGCCAAACCTTAAGGTTCTCATTAATTTCTTCTCTGGCTTATATCTTTCCTACTTTTGCCACCAGATTGGTTAATGATGATTGTTAATGAGAGTGAAGAGTATTTATTGAACAAATACCTGCTGAGGATCAAATATTGAATTACATTCTGGAGTGTAATATTGTATAAGGTAGGGCTTGATCTGTGAAGTAGAAATACTATGAATGATATCAAGTAAGTAATTTATTCTAGGAATTATACCTTACTCAATTGCAGGCACTCATGAGGAAGTCCACAGAAGGCTGTTACTGCTATGTCTGGTGGACCCGAAAACATGGCAGGTCAGCAGTTGGGAAGAAACGCTGGATCTGAAGCAGGGGAAGTGAGGACAAACAGAACTTGTAAAGGCAACACGGAATGCATGAAATCAATGACATGCATGATCTGCAGAAGAAGCTACTCTCCTTTGCCATGGAGCTGCAAACGTGGCTGGCCCTGGACTTGGAGAAGCTCCGGAGTGGAATCTGGCAGGGCCTAGAGAAGCTGTGGGCTCAGCAGCTGCTCTCTCACCACAGCATGAGCCAGAATCAGCAACGATGCTTGTGAGCTGCTGCAGCCATTGGTACCTTACGCTGACCTCCAGGGATGAATGGCTGCTGATACACATATGCCTCTGAATCTTGCACAATCCTCGCTTATGCCAACCCCAATGAAAAGCCATACAGGGAATTCTGGGAATTGTATTTCCTGCTAAGCTAACTTGACACAATGTAAATTTACTGCAAACATGAACAACACATGGTCCTTCCATCAAGTCTGGGGATGAAGGTTACAAGTAATAACAAATAAATGCAATAAAGGGTATAATGCAGATTCCTTTCCCTTGAGTAGATGGGGCATAAGGAGAGTGGCCAAAACTTCTGGAGGGAAGTGAGATTCTATAGAAGGGAAAACTCTAAGGACATTATAGGCAGAGGAAAACGTGAGAGACAGGAAACCAAAGGTTGACAATCACAGCATTTTTAAAGAACCAAAAATAATTGATAGGGGCTAGAGCCTGGGGACAAAGATGGGAAGACAAAATTGGAGAAAGTATACAAGGACAAGATAATAGAGGGTTTCGTAGGCCACACTAATATGCTAAGAAGTTTGGACCTGATTCTGCTTTATGGTTGTTGATTTGAATTTTATATTGTTATATTTTAAAATTATTTTAATAACTGCAATTAAAGGAGGAACCCCTCACAAATATGTAAGAAACCATATTGAAATATACTAAAGATGACCAGTGCAATTAACTTGTGCTGCCAAATTCACATCCTTTTGCACAATCCTCAAAATAAAGCTTCTGTCATTCTATTTAATTGAAAAAAATACCATGAGTTTGCAAAAGTAACTATTTAGAAACCTGTTCCTAATTTCAAGTATTTATCAGTGTGAATTAGGGTGGATTTTATTTTTAACTACTCTAAATTTTAAACCAAACTCAGAAATAAAACTGGATATTGAGGCTGATACAAGATTACAATTTTATACACAAGTCTGCTTTCAAATTTTGGTGATAATGTCAATATCTCAATGTTCTCATTGACTGGGCTTATAATAAACTAGTTTGGATTCATCAGATAAATTATTATCATACAATACCAATTGATTTCAACTGTTTAATATGTTGAGGTTCCTTTGCTTTAAAGAAGTTTCTCACTGTACAAAATGGGAATTGAAAATAGATAGCTTAGGTAATGGTGAGTCAATAAGGGATTTTAAAAGCAACATGCTATTTCAATTTGAAAAAAATAATACTGATGGTGATGTTACAAAAGAATTGGAGAGAGACAAGTCTGAGGCACAGTTATTGTTATTCTGGGGAGAGCTGGTCCTATGACTTTAGAAAGTAGCAATGGGAATGGGAATAAGAGAGAATGATGTGGCAGTTGTGGAAAAGGTAGGATCTATAGAACCTGCAGGCTATTTGGATGCAGAGAATGAGGAAGGGATTAAAGATGATGGCCTAAGTGACTGGGTTTTTTTGATGGTGTCTTCATTTTTCTCTACAATCCCAGCACAGTAGCTTTCACATTAAAAACCTTCAGTAAATATTCTTTGAAGTGTTAAAATACATGCCAAGTAACAGTGCTTTGGTTGGATCACAATGCTTTGAGAAGGCCCACCCAATAGATTTTTATAAATCTACAGAGTGTCCTTTTTTTTTTTCTTGGGGGTTTTGTCAAAGGGAAGAACCTAGCTCTAACGACTGCATTTTTAATTTTTTTTTCACAGTGGCTTCTGAATTAAAAGGATGCCTTCTACTAAGAAACCTAACTTTAGAAAATCCTTTTTGTCCTATAACTTGGATAGCATCTGAATGGAAAATCCTCTTTTACCTGAAACCCAGTGGGTAGCATTTCAAGTACTGCATTTGGAAGGTGACAGAAATGCTTTAACCAGAGTTCCAAGTAAATTTTCTGTACTCTGATATGTAATAGAAATATGTAGGGAGGCTAGGCATGGTGGCTCACGCCTGTAATCCCAACACTTTGGGAAGCCAAGGTGGGCAGATCATCTGAGGTCAGGAGTTTGAGAACAGCCTGGCCAACATGGCAAAACCCCATAACTACTAAAAATACAAAAATTAAGCGGGCATGATGGTGCACATGCCTGTAATCCCAGCTACTTGGGAGGCTGAGGCAGGAGAATCACTTGAACCTGGGAGGCAGAGTTTGCAGAGAGGCGAGACTGTGCCACTGCACTCCATCCAGCCTGGGCGACAGAGCAAGACTCTGTCTCAAAAAAAAAATTCTATATATTTATTTATATATATTTACATATATGTAATATATATTTATTTATATATATTTACATATATCATATGTAATATACATTTATTTATATATATGTAGGAAAAAGTATTTATTTTTGAAGCAATTACAGATGACAGGAAGTTGTAAGAAAATGTACAAGGAGGCCCTGTGCACCCTTCACTGGGAAATATAGTCTAAAAGTATGTAGAAATTAACTCCTAGTTCCAAGGATATTTTTGATATACATAAGAACTAGGTGAGCCAGGGACATTAAGGGGTGAAATAGCAATACTGACATGTCAATGACACATTAGCTTTTCCCAAGAGCAGATAAGTGTTGCTATGTTCCTAAAGGTGTCCTGTTTGGACCAAAGTCAATGACAAAATCCTCACGAGTGTGTGGAACTTGAGATAGTAAATACATTTCTGTGGTATTTAATTAACTCTACAGAGCAAAAGGCAAGTAAAATCTAGGAAACTGCAGCAATCAAAGCTATTAGAAAGCATCGTTTAAATGCACACGTGCATGCACGCATGCATACACACACACACAAGCAAAATTAATTGCCAACTAGATTTTAAATCTAAAATACGTGCAATTTCTCTGGTGCACTGCATTTCTAAATGTCTTGGTCTTTTCACTGGGTAAAAATATCAAATATTGAAGAAAAGATTGATCAAATTTTTGGCAAAATTCCTTTCAAAACATGACTAATGTATCACTGATGTATGTTTTTTTTTTTTTCTTCACTCAAATCTTCCTCCAACCCCAAATAGCTTCTTTGTCAGTGTATTTTCACCCTCGTAGTGTTTTTTAGCCCTTGCTCTTCTCCCCACTATTAACCATGAACATACCTCAAACACATGTGAAAAGGTCATATTCAATGCATTTTCTAGGTCTGTGGTGCTGTTTTACCTTCCATTTGTATAGCATTTTACAAGTCCCAATGTGTTTCACATACTTTATCTCATTTCATTAGTCAACAACCCTGTGGAGTAATTAACATTTTTTATTTATTTAATGACATAGAAAGTTGAGGCTTAGGGTGATGGAGAGATTTACCCCAAATCAAACAACTAGTTTGTAGCAAAGTCTGGATTAAGATGCCTGAATTTCTGCTTTTAAGTTTACTGATCACTCTTCTCTACCACAGCTATCCATGCTATTTGTAACCAGAATATCCTCAAATTCTCCAGCATTCTGGGACTACCCTCAGTGAATATTTCAAGAAAATGGCTGGATGCCCCAAAGCCCATACTCTGGGAAACTCAGCCTGCCCAAATTTCTCCAAGACTGATTAGGGCTTTTCCTTTTGGCTCTAGCTACAATTCCTATTTCTACTGCCTTCGGAACCTCTGCTCTTCTTTGTCTTTTCAACTCAAGTCTTCTTTCTGGAGGCATTGCCAGGGTACTCTGCTCCCACTAGCAGAATGCTAGTGCAACTGACAGGGGCCTCTTCCAAGCTTGACCTGTAGATACTCATGTGTGTGCTCCTCTGTGCTCTTTCCTCCTTCCCAAGGGTTGGAGTGGTTACATATTGGAAATCACATCTTGAAGATGGTGGAGATGACCTCTGACTGGGCTCATGAATAGTCACATGGAGGAGAGCCATGCCCTGAACTGGGACCCCCTAGGTCATTATGATAGTGAGAAAGACATTTCTATATGCCTTAAATCACTTAATTGCTATTGTCTTATCCCAACTAATTCAACCTTCATAACCCAATATTAAATTGAAGTGACTTCCTAACCAAAGGTAAAGTTATCTCCCTGAGAGGAATCCTAGCTTTCTCTTAGCCCAACCAGCTTTTTAGATAATATCTTGTGTTCCCATTACCTGTTGTAGGATTTTGTAGAATGTTGGAAAAAGCATAGGCTCAGGGTCAGACAGACATGGGTTCAAGTGTGGGTTATACACTTTTTATGGGTGTGTCATTAGACAAGTGGCTTAACCTCAGCCACAATTTTGTTATTATAAAGATGGGATATTTTCTTAGAATTAAACACAACAATATGTGTAAAATGTTGTACTACAGGTTTCCTGATAAATCTGGCACATGGCACACAACCAATAAATAATAGTTATCGTTGTTACTCGTGGAGTACATGTTTTAGGTTTCCCCATGGTAAGAAAAAGAAAAATAAACATTGTGATTATGTTCCAACTGGGACAAACTGTTGATTATCAGAGATCTCACCTCTAATGTGAGAAATATGATCACACAACTTACCCTGCTTATTTTCTTGCAAACAATGGTCTCTTTTAAATTTTTTTTTTACCACTTTATACTCTTTTCTAACTTATTTCTCATGATGATACATTCAGTCCTTTACTAGCCCAGCAACTTTTGTTTTCAGCCCTGATACCTTGTTCAAAATAAACATTTAAGATTTTTCATCGATCTAAACTCTGTTATAATTAGATGGGAATTGAAAGATCATTTGACTTATTAGTGCCTTCAATTTTCAGCCTCCAACAGGCGAGATGAAAATTTTTATGGAGGAGGAAAATTGAAATAATTCATGACAAGATGGCACAAATGTGAAAGATGTGATCATTATGTGTTAAACCAGTTAAGGCTGTAAGACAGTTTCTTAACAGCTCTCTCCCCCTAAATATATGTTTAGAATATCTATTTTGTTATTTTATAGAAAACACAAAAATGTATTAAAAATTTAATAACCATAGATCATCTTACCATCTATTATTAACATTTTTGTCTAATTACCTCCATTCTCTTTCTAAACTCTCTCTCTCTCTCTGATGTTTTGTTTTAGCTTCATTTCTGTTCTTTTCCAAATGTGAGTTCATACCATTTAGTTTTGCATTTTTCTTATTTCACTAAATATCGTGTAGTAAACATTTTTCCACCCAAGAAACATTTTTAGGTCTCGATTTACATTTCTATTGTTATACAACAGTAGCCATCTAAATTTGCAATAAGAGTCAGAGAAAGTTTTGAATTCCTAAATTTTCTTTTGTGGCAGCCCTTCTGCAGCTGTGAGAAATGCTGCTTTTGTCAAAATCCTCTTGGCTCCTATCACCTGACCCTCATTTATGCTACAGAGCTAGTAGTACTACTGGCAGGATGGGGAATCCATGCCATTTTGTGGTGCTTACCCTCAGGGGTATTCCTGGAAAATGCATACAGGGAGGGCTTTAGTTCATTACCACTAGCAGACAGATATTTAACTTCTCCTTCAAACACTCATATGTAACACAGATGACTTTTATGTCTTTTACCTAAGCTCTGAACTACCTTTTACTATTCTTTTAGATAGCAAGATTTTAAAAAATAAGTCAAAATACCAAAAATCCTAGACTAGAAGGTAATACTATCAAGAAAGGGTAATAATGATGACCTCATAATCTGGTAGCATGGGTATTCTGTGGAGACTTGGGGGATGACTTAGTCCCTGGAAATATCCAAAACCACAGGTTGAAACATTATTGCAACATTGAGGGTTTTAAAACCCTCTAGGAACACTGAGGGCCTCAAGCTAAATGTGAACATGAATATCTTATGGAAGATGAGAGAGTCCTCTATCGCACTGGAGCAAAAAGATGCAGGGCGAATGTAGAAAGCAGAGTTTTTTGTTTTTTGTTTATTTTTTAGCCTACAATTTATACCTTCTCTCTCTCTCCCCCATTAAACACACCAGGAACACTTAATAAATTCATAATGCTGAATTGGCAACCAAATTTGTAGGGAAGGGTGTGGAGCAGGGAGGTGAAAACCAAGGGATTCCATAAGAAATTGCCTCTGCTACCTCATCCATCTCTTAAAGCAAATAATACATGCAGCACTCAGGCTAATGAGGTCTCCAAAGAATGTATGTTTTTGTGTGGTTATAACAAATTAAAAAAATAAGTCATCAGCTCAGCAGGAAAGTGCTTAAAATCTTGTTTTGTAGTCTTTAATGCTGTTCTGAAATTAAAATAACAAAGAAGCCTTTTCCTGAAATATAATAATTATGTACATGTAAATTTCTTATGTAGTTTTCCGTTTTGTTTTGTTTTGTTATTGCCTTTGCATACTGAGATGGTTTGGTTGTGTCCCCACCCAAATCTCATCTTGAATTGTAACTCCTACAATTCCCATGTGTCATGGGAGGACCCAGTGATAGGTAATTGAATCATGGGGCCAGGACTTTCTCATGTTGTTCTCACAATAGTTAATAAGTCTCACGAGATCTGATGGTTTTTAAAAGAGGAGTTTGCCTGCACAGACTCTCTTTCTCTTTGCCTGCTGCCATCCACATAAGATGTGACTTGCTCCTCCTTGTGTTCCTCCATGATCGTGAGGCCTCCCCAGCCATGTGAAAATGTAAGTCCAAAAAAACTCTTCCTTTTGTAAATTTCTCAGTCTCAGGTATGTCTTTATCAACAGCGTGAAAACAGACTAATATACATACTCAGAAAGTCCCTTCTCTGCCCCTTTTGCTGCCACTTATTGATTCCAAATAAAGAAAAGGTGTAGAATAAAGTGGAAGTGTAAACTTGGTGTTCTTTTATGCAGAAATAAAGAGGTACACATGCTATCTTTGGCTTTGTGGATTTAGATGCATAAGATGCATGCCTGTTTTCTGCACAAGGACTGCCTTGGTTACAACACATAGAGATGAGTTTAACAGAGTTAAGGGCTAAGAGTTTGTAGCATTCAGTGAAGAAAGGTGAGTTGTTACAGGGGAGAAGATGCAGCATCTGCTGATGTACAGGCTTCAACATGCCATGTGGTTCATTTAGCCTCCTAGCAATATCTCTGTGGAGTGTCTCTTCCTTGCTCGTGAAGATTGAGGGCATATAGAAGCCAATTTTTAAAATAAGAAAAAAATGAATGTTGAAAATTGTGTTATCTTCCCTCTGCTTAAGCATGATTAACCGCTTGATCATCTAGGCCTTTATAAACCCTGTTACTGATCCATTTTGACTGGGATAAACAGTTCTATAATGGAAGCATCAGATTTAGAAGATGCTATGTCTTCTAATCCTACTCTAGAGGGGTTAAAATTCGACAGGGACAATTGGCACCTATTTTCATAGCATTATGGTATTTTGGAGCCAATAACAAACTTAAGAGTTCAAGTCCAACACAATCATTTCTCATAGAAGGATGCAGAGGCTGTGAGAAGCATATACCCTGGTTAAAACCCTACCCTCTCACCTCCTGAAACGTTGTTTCTAAACTCCCCACCTGCTGTCTGTCTGTGGAGAATACAGCATAGCAAGATATGAGTTTAAATCTTTGTAAGAGCCGTTTTAGTTAGTCCTGAAAAGAAATTTCTAGGCAGCAAAAGCCATAAAACATGCAAGAAGTTTACAAAGGATAAATATGTGCTGTCCTTCTTCTGTGTGTATGTTGGTGTGCTGGTCTGGGTCATTTTCTATTTCAGATAAAGATTAACCCATAGGGTTTGTTTGAATTTCAAAGTGCTTACATATTCATACATACTTCCATGTGCACTTAAGTCATCATTATCTAGAATATATTATGTGGTACAAGCTTCAAACAAAGCATGGACTCCTTTTCTTCTCTTACTACAGAATGGCTGTAGTATCTGAACTTTACTATCTAAAATGCTTGAATATGTTGTTTTTCTTTTAAAATTAAATAATAAACATGACCGTCAGAGATTGGGTAGCAACTAAGAGAAAGGGTCCAGGGAAGAGGAGCAATGGCTCTCTCTGCTCTGACACTGCTTTTAAAAAATATTCCTTGACACCTAATAACCTTGATGATTTTCTTCAGTAAAATGAAAGGGTTGGAGTTCATGAAGAATAACTTTAAAGATACATGGTTCAGATGCCCCCTATGCATATCTATCTGTCCTGTTTTGATATAAGGCACTTTACCATGCTTGTCCATCTTATTATGCTGTATCTTAACCACACACAGTGATGCCCTAAGGGAATTACTGAGCAGCTGCCATGTGATTGCAGTTTCTCTTTGTCTAGATAAATGGTAAAAAGTGTTGAGTGGAACTCGGCAAACATATACCATTAAATAATACAAAGCAAATAAATAGCATAGTAAGAGTATAAGTTTTGGAGCCAAAATAAACCTAGAGTTGAATCTTACTCTGTTCCTTATTAGATATTGATACCTTGTAAAAATCATTTATCCTTCCTTTTTTTATTGCCAACTTTTATTTTAAGGTCAGGGGTATATATGCAGGATGTGCAGGTTTGTTACATAGGTAAATGTGTGCCATGGTGGTTTGCTGCACAGATCACCCCATCACCTAGGTATTAAGCCCAGCATCCATTAGCTATGCTTCCTGATCCTCTCTCTCTTCCCACCCCCAACCCTCCAACAGGCCCCAGCATGTGTTGTTTTCCCCAATGTGTCCATGTTTTCTTATTATTCAGTTCCCACTTAGAAGTGAGAACACACATTATTTGGTTTTCTGTTCCCACGTTAATTTGCTAAGGGACTTGTACTTCTTATGTCTCAGTTTCCTCAGCTGTAAAATAGGGATAATGATTAATGTGAGGATTAAATTGGATAATACATATAAAGTGACTAACATAAAATAGTTTGTTGTTGTTCTTGTTGTTGTTTTTGTTTTTGAGACAGAGTTTCGCTCTTGTTGCCCAGGCTGGAGAGCAGTGGTGCAGTCTTGGCTCACTGCAACCTCCGCCTCCCAGGCTCAAGCGATTCTCCTGCCTCAGCCTCCAGAGTACCTGGGATTACAGGCATCTGCCACAACACCTGGCTAATTTTTTGTATTTTTAGTAGAGATGGGGGTTCAACATGTTGGCCAGGCTGTTCTCAAACTCTGGACCTCAGGTGATCCACCTGCTTCAGCCTCCTAAAGTGCTGGGATTATAGACGTGAGCCACCGTGCCTGGCCCATAAAATAATTTTGAATAAATTTGCAGACTAACTAGAAATTCTTAGTCCTGTAAATGTCTGAAATTCCATGGCTATTCAGACTTGGAGAAATGATGTAGACAAAATTATCCTCAATGACTTTTGTCCCTTTAGCATTTAAAGGAAGAGATCAGTTACATTGTCTGCAGTACAATCATCATTTCATTTCTTTTTGGCCTGCATGAGCTGCTTTCTGAGCCAGATAACAGTAGAAAACTGGAATCCCATGCTGCCTGGGCCAGCACTCTAAATGGTCACTTGGTATCCCCAGAAGCAGACAGGTGACTGCATGAAAATAGCTTGTACTCCCCAATGCACATATAAAACAAAATAAGCTAAGTTTTCACCAAGGTTTGAATAAGGCAATATAGACAACTTCCTTATTATGTCAATATCTTTCTTTCTTCACCAGAGAATTTCTTATGTTCTAAACTCCTTATGGGAAGAGGCTGCTTCTTATTGCACAAGGGTAACTTCTAATACAGACCCATAATCAGATAGTCTAGACTTTCAGAGTTAAAAGCACCCTGCTTTCCACTCAGGAAGCCCATTCCATGGCTTCTCCAGTGGATTGGTTTGTTAGAAGAGTGTAAGTGCCACGTGGGTCATGTTGAGCAGCCCTAGTTGTTAGAAAGTACTTTCACATGTCGACTCAAATATTCATCTCCACATAGTTATTATCTACCTACTTATCCCTCTGAAGAAACACGTGCTGAACAACAGAGGCCAAAACCAAGTGGGCATTCTGAGCATATGTGAGAAATCCTGTCAGCAGCACTAGATTAGGGCCCTGGTTACTGGAACAAAATTCAGGGAAACAAAACCTGTTATACTATGTTTGCCTCCTTTGTATTTAAATGGGCTTGTTCTAGCTGTAGCCATTGCAATGGGGGTTTTTCTTCCAGCCAGTACTTGACTAGAGAAATCATTTACCTCTCACAAAGTAAATGTCTTGTGTTACTAAAAAGTTATTTTGCCTGCAACAAATCCAACTAAGAACAGCTCAATAAAGAATTGATTTTCACATAGAATAAGAGATCCGGAGGGAGGCAATCCACTGCATCATCTTTAGTCTGCTGGACTTTTATGGCATCATCACTTGATAGCCATCATGTCAAGGAAAAAAAGAGTGGGGAAGGAGCTTTGCTTCCCCTTATCTGTCCTCTTATCAAGTTAGCAAAAGTTTTCCCAAGTGACCCCAGAGAGAGACATTATTTTGTATTTTATTGACCAAAAAATGTATTGCCTGCCAAATGCATGGGCAAGGAGGCATGACAAATTAACACTTAAATTTCCCACATTCATAATACAATTAGGTAAAGAGGAATGGATTGGAAGTGGGTGTTGAGTTAGTGAGTCAGAAGGATCTGCCACACACCTCAAAGACTATCCTTGATCACATCACTCCTTCATCCGAACTTGCAAACCACTTACAGTCTGTGTATGGACAAGCTCTTGGCTTCTTGATAATATTTGTATATGATTCTCTTGTGTTCCCAGCTGATTATATATCTGGGTCATCTCTTTAGGAGCTGAAAATAGGTTTAATACTATCTTAAAATTGTGTGAAATTACAAAATTTTCTAAGAGCTTCCAACCACATGTCATTATTTGCTGTACTGCAAGGCAAGGATTTTTACTTCCATTTTACAGAGAATTTGAGACTCAAAGAGATTATATGATTTACCTAGTTAGGCATGATTTATACCCAAGACTAGCACTTTTGCATAAGACTGTTAAGTCGGTGATTTCTCAATGACTTTATATTATAAATTATTTACACACATACACACACAGATATAAAGAAAGATCTAACAAAGCTAAATATCCTTACAACACTATGGCATAGCTATATACAGTTATATAAGATTGATCTAAAATTGAATGGTCTGCCATCCTAGTTAAAAATTGCTGAAGTCTATCCATGGATAATGTGTAGCATGATTACATAAGTTAATATCCAGGCTGAATTACTTAAAAATCATCTATCAATAATTTCTTCACAACAACAGTAAATTGGAACTTTCTTTGGCAAATAAGGACTTATAGTCAACCAGGCAATGAATAAAGATGGTATTGTAGAGCCTGGAACTTATTGGAAGATAAGAGACTGGAGAGAAAGGTTTACAAGGTATACCCAGAATCATAGGATTAATGTTTTTCTGAATGTAAGGAGCTGAAGTAAAAGGGCAAGAATTAAGGATACTAAAACATAATATTGAAAGTATATACTTAGTAGTCAACCAAGAAACAATTAAGGTTCATATAATATTGTTTCTTTGGCAACAAAGAAAATATTAACTTCACTTTCATTAAACTATTACTTTCCATTTTCTTAACATGAAGAAGTCAAATAATCTAAGATGAAGCCATCCATAGAGCTTGAGGTAGAAAATAGAAGGAGCATGGTTTTTCGGGAAGATTTTTCCTTAGCCACCTGATTTTTTTTTTTTTCTTTTTTTTTTTTTTTGAGACACAGTTTCACTCTGTCGCCCAGGCTGGAGTGCAGTGGCATGATCTCAGTTCAATGCAACCTCTTCCTCTTGGGCTCAAGCAATTCTCCTGCGTCAGCCTCCCAAGTAGCTGGGATAACAGGCGTGCACCACCATACCTGGGTAATTTATGTGTTTTTAGTGGAGATGGGGTTTCATGGTGTTGGCCAGGCTGATCTCAAACTCCTAACCTCAAGTGATCCGACCACCTTGGCCTCCAAAAGTGCTGGGATTACAGGCGTGAACCACCACGCCCGGCTGCCACTTGATTTTTTTCTGCTCCCTTCTTTTCTGCTTTTAATCACTCCACATAGTCTGTCACCTGTTTTTAACAATTATGGTGTCTACCGTATTCCACATATTATGAAAGAATTGGGACTTAAAGATCACAGCAGCTCATCGTCTACTGAGGGGAATAATGAATGGACAACAAAGATTGGCAAGGGCCATAGGAAAAGTTTACTGTGGTGTGCATGGGGAATATGTAAAATAACTTCAGGAATAAGTCAAGACCTTCTAGTAGAAAATAATTTTTTAAACAGTTTTAATAAAGAACTTGACTCCAATTTTGACATTTGACTGCTGACGGCTTTGAAGTCACACCTATCTTTCATCCCCTTCAGCTCACATTTGGAGAAGCCTATAATAAATTCCAGATATCCCCTTCTTTGGTAATTGTGGGAGTTTCAAATCATGCAAGTCCTGCCCATAAGGAGAACCCTCACCCGAGTCCTGCCACCTAACCGCAATAAAAACCCCAAGCTGGTCTCCCCTTTCTCGCTATTCAAGTCATTACCAGACCAATTTGGAAAGTCTGTTCTGCCATCCCCAGAAAGTCTCATTGTGTGCATTATAAACTTTTTCATACCCTCTTGGTGTGTCCGTGGCATCATCTGTCTCAATATTGAAACCTCAAGTTTGGATGGTGCTGTTTTACGTCTGCAGAATGGCCAAAACAGAAGATTTATTGAGGTATAATTTGCATACTACAAAAATGTTAGTATATAATTTAATAATTTTTAGTAAAATTACAGAGTTTTACAACCATCACCAAAATGAGTTTTAGAACATATTTATCACCCAAAAAGAGCCTCTGCTTGTGTTTGTAGTCCGTCCCTTCTCCTACCTTAGCCCTAGGTAACCACTAATCTGCTCTGTCTCTATAGATTTGCTTCTCCTAGACATTTCATATAAAAGGATACATACAAATGTAGTCTTTTGCGCCTACCTTTTTTCTGTTGGCATAAGGTTTTGGAGATTATTCCATGTTGTTGCATGTATCCGTCCTTCTTTCCTTTTTCATTACTGAATAGTATTCCATTGTAGGGATATACCACATTTTGTATATCCATTCAGCAGTTGTTGGAGATTTGTACTGTTTCCACTTTTTGGTTATTATGGAGAGTGTTATTCACATGAAAATATTGGTATGGGCATGTGCTTTAACTTCTCTTGGGCTGACACCTAGGAAGAGAATTGCAAAGTCACTTGGTAAATTTATATGTAACTTGTTAAAGAACCTGCTAAACTGTTTCCAAAGTGGCTGAACCATTTTACATTCCCACTAGCCATGTGTAAACACTCCATTTTCTCCACATTCTAGTTAGCCCTTGTCTCTATTTGTATTTTGGATTATGGCTACCTAGTGGGTATGAAATTATATCTCATTGTGATTTGGATGTTCATTTTCCTAATGATTAACAACACTGAGAATCTTTTCATGTGTTTATTAGCATTCATACATCTTTTTTGGTGAAATAGCTATTCAAATATTTTGCTTGGTTTTTTATTTCTTTTTTATTTGTTTAGTCAATAAGTTTATTGTCTTTATCTGAAAAATTCTCACAGAAAATTGTTCAGTGTAGGTAGCTCTTGGCAGCCTGCTCCTGAGCTCTGAGGAAGCTTGTCTTCTTTTGAGCTACCTGATCTTTCTTCTGGGCAAGGGACATTTTCAGATGGTTCCACTTCTTTTTTTAAACTTCTTTCTCGGACTTCTTCTCATAGACTGGATTCTCTTATATAGCAGCGTGAGCTTTCTTGTACATCTCCTTCATGTCTGAAGTTATGCTGTTCTTTATGTATTAAGAGAAACATTTCTTGTAAGCATCTTCATCTTTTTCTATTAGGTAACACATGTAGCCTGCAGCATTTGGATCCATAATGGGCTTTTGATGTACTTCTGCATTAAATTTCTTGCTTTCAGAATCATAACCAGGAAATCGTTTAATATTGTGAGGAATCAACAAACCTCCATCCACAACTCCTTTCCAGACCCCATAAAAGCTTATCGGTAGTTCTGGCAAGGCCTGCATCCAAATAGCACGTAAAGGCACCTGGCTGAGCATCAATGGTTTTTACATTGTATTCATCTCCATTCATCTCTACTTGGACTTCTTAGATCTTGTCCATGCCAAACCTACTGAGAAGTCTGCAGGCCAGCAGGAGGCCAGTACAGTATGCTATAGCATAATTTGTCAGGCCAACCTTCACACCATGTTTTGGCAGTTCATATGCATAAGCTGCATACATTATCATATTCCCTCCTATATGGGCATAAGCAATCTGACAAATGATATCTCTATCTGTTACACAAACTATCACCCTGTATTTAGGCATGTTGTACTTATTTTTATCTTATATCACCAAGGATTTCTGAGCATAGTAATCAGTTTTACCCTGTCATTGTCTTCTACATTTCACTTAGTATCTCTTAAAGTAGGCCTTACTCTTGACAACTTTAACAAACCCCATCCTGAGAAACAGAAACTCATATCTGTGGCTCAACACAGATCTACAGGTCCAGCAACACTGGGGGTGGAGGGGAGGTGGGGTGGGGAAGAAGGCCTGTTACCTGTTTTTTTTGTTTGTTTGTTTTTTGTTTTTTGAGATGGAGTCTCGCTCTGTTGCCCAGGCTGGAGTGCAGTTGCGCGATCTCAGCTCACTGCAAGCTCTGCCTTGTGGGTTCACGCCATTCTCCTGCCTCAGCCTCCCAAGTAGCTGGGACTACAGGCGCCCGCCACCACGCCTGGCTAATTTTTTGTATTTTTAGTAGAGACGGGGTTTCACCATGTTAGCCAGGGTGATCTCAATCTCCTGACCTCGTGATCCACCCACCTCGGCCTCCCAAAGTGCAGGGATTACAGGCGTGAGCCACCGTGCCCAGCCTGCCTGTTTTAATTGAGTTGTTTGTCTTACTAAGTTGTAAATGCTCTTTATATATGTTGAATACATACATATGTTGAATATGTATGTATGAATACATACATATGTTGAATATGTATGTATGAATACATACATATGTTGAATGTGTATGTATGAATACATACATATGTTGAATGTGTATGTATGAATACATACATATGTTGAATGTGTATGTATGAATACATACATATGTTGAATGTGTATGTATGAATACATACATATGTTGAATGTGTATGTATGAATACATACATATGTTGAATGTGTATGTATGAATACATACATATGTTGAATGTGTATGTATGAATACATACATATGTTGAATGTGTATGTATGAATACATACATATGTTGAATGTGTATGTATGAATACATACATATGTTGAATGTGTATGTATGAATACATACATATGTTGAATGTGTATGTATGAATACATACATATGTTGAATGTGTATGTATGAATACATACATATGTTGAATGTGTATGTATGAATACATACATATGTTGAATGTGTATGTATGAATACATACATATGTTGAATGTGTATGTATGAATACATACATATGTTGAATATATGTTGAATACAAGTTATTTGTCAGATATCTCATTGGCAAATAATTTTTTTCTAGTACATGGCTTGTGTTCTCATTTCTTAATGATGTCTTCTGAAGTGCAAGAGTTTTAAATTTTGAAGAAATCAAATTTATCAATATTTTATTTTATGGATTGTGCTTTTTAGGTATCATATCTAAGAATGTGCTGCCTAACCCTTTATAGTATTAATATTAACTCATACATTTAAGTTTATAATCCATTTGAATTTAACTTTTTTGTAGAATGTAAGATGAGTCTAAATTCATCTTTTTGCAGGTTGTTACCTAACTGACCCTGCACCATTTATTAAAAAGACCATCATTTCTCCCATTGAATAACCTTGGTAACTTTGCTAGAAATTGATTGACCTTAAATGTAAGGGTTTATTTTTGTACTATCAATTTTGTTTCACTGACTTGTGCAGATGTTCCTCAACTTATTATGGAGTTACATAGTGATAAACCCATGATAAGTTGAAAACGTCATTAAGTCAAAAATGGACATTTTGTTGACATGATGGGATACAAAAACACAAAACATAATACCGAAGAAGGCTGACAACACAGTTCACTGTAGAGTATGGGTTGTTTGCCCTTGTGATTGCACGCCTGACTGGGAGCTGTGGCCTACCACCACTGCCCATCATTGCAAGAGAGTATTATATTACATACCACTAGTCTGGGAAAAAAATCTAACTTCAAAATTCAAGATATGGTTTCTGCTGAATGCGTAACATCATTACATTGTAAAGTAAAAAAAAAATTCATAAGTCAAACCATTATAAGTTACAAACCGTCTGTGTGTCTATCCTTATGCCAGATTATTGTAGCTTCATAGTAAATTTTAAAATCAGGAAGTGGAAGTTCTTCAACTTTGGATTTTTCCAAAACTGTTTTGGCTATTCTGATTCTTTTGCATTTCCATGTAAATTTTAAGACTACTAATTTGCAATAATTCTTGCTAGGATTTTGTTAGGTACCGCATTAAACCTGTACATTAATTTGAAGAGAATTGATATCTTAACAATATTGACTTTTACAATCCATAAACATGGAATGTTTCTCCATTTATTAAAGCTTTTAATGTTTCTTTCAGATGTATTTATATTTTTTGGTGTTTAAGTCTTGTATTGATTTTGTTAAACTTATTTCTAATTACTTTATTATTTTGATTCTATTATGATTAGAATTGTTTTTGTAATTTCATTTTCAGATTGTTAAGTGCTAGGATATGGAAATACAGCTGATTTTTGTATATTGATTCTGTATTCTGCAAACTTGCTAATTTATTAGTACTAGTAGTGTTTTGTAGATTCCTGAGAATTTTCTTCATACAGGATAATGTCATCTACAAATAAGAAAAGTTCAATTTGTTCATTTCCAATGTAGATGCCATTTATTTCCATTGTCTAAATGTATTGGCCAGGACTTCCATGAATATGTTTAATAGAAGTGATAACAGCAGACACCCTTGGGTTGTTTCCAGTCTTAGGGGGAAAGTATACTATTAAGTATGATGTTAGCTGTAGGTTTTCTGTAGATGTCTTTTTTCAGGCTAAGGAAGTTCACCGTGTTAGCCAGGATGGTCTGGATCTCCTGACCTTGTGATCCACCCATCTCAGCCTCTCAAAGTGCTGGGATTACAGGTGTGAGCCACCACACTGGCCTTGTTGAGAGTTTAAAATTGTAAATGAGTGAGTTTTGTCAAATGCTTTTTCTGATTTGATTGAGGCGGTTATGTATTTTTGTCCTTTATCCTATTAACATGATATATTACATTAACTGATCCTTGGATGTTAAAGCAATTACATGCTCCTGGGATACAGTGTACTTGTACTTGATTATACTATATAATCCTATTTACTTAATTTCTGGATTTGAGTTGCTAAAATGTTGTTGAGGGTTTTTATATCAATATATATGAAATATATCAGTGTAGTTTTATTTTATTGTAATATCTTTGATTAGCTTGTATAACAGGGTAATATTGGCTTCACAGTATGAGTTAGAAACTATCCCCTTTTCTTCTATTACCTTGAATAGTTTGTGAAGTATTGGCATTAATTTTTCTTTCTTTCTTTTCTTTCCTTTCTTTCTTTCTTTCTTTCCTTCTTTCCTTCTTTCCTTTCTCTCTCTCTCTCTCTCTCTCTCTCTCTCTCCCTTCCTTCCTTCCCTCCCTCCCTCCCTCCCTCCCTCCCTCCCTCCCTCCCTCCTTTCTTTCTTTCTTTCTTTCTTTCTTTCTTTCTTTCTTTCTTTCTTTCTTTCTTTCTTTCTTTCTTTCTTTCTTTCTTTTCTTCTTTCTTTCTTTCTTTGTTCTTGAGACAGAGTCTGGCTCTGTTGCCCAGGCTGGAGTGCAGTGGCACGATCTTGGCTCACTGCAAGTTCCACCTCCCAGGTTCACACCATTCTCCTCCTCAGCCTCCCGAGTAGCTAGGACTACAAGTGCCTGCCACCACATCTGGCTAATTTTTTGTATTTTGAGTAGAGATGGGGTTTCAACATGTTAGCCAGGATGGTCTCGATCTCCTGAGCTTGTCATCCGCCTGCCTCGGCCTCCCAAAGTGCGAGGATTGCAGATGAAAGTAATGCAGAGATTTCACCAAGGGAGCCTCTGGGCCTAGTTGTTTCTTCATGGGAAATTTTTTAGTTATTAATCCAATAGTTTTGATTGTTATAAGTCTATTCCATTTTCTGTATCTTCTTTAGTCATTGTTAGTAATTTGTGTCTTTCTAGGAATTTGACCATTTCATCTTAGTTACCTAATTTGTTGGCACAAGTTTGTTCATAGTATTCTCTTTCTTTTAGTGTCTATAGAGATTGTGTGATGTCCGCTCTTTAATTCCTGGTTTTGGTAATTTATATCTTTTATCTCTTTTTTTTCCCTTAGCCAGTCAATTTTGTTGATCTTTTAAACGACCAACTATTGTTTGCATTAATTTTTCTTTAGTGCTTTGTGTTTTCCATTTCATGGATTCTACTTCTTTATTTTTTTCTTTTTCTTTATTTTTTTTCTTTTCTCCAGAAGTATTTGTACTTAGTTTGCTTTTCTTTTCTATTTTCTTAAGGTGGAAGATTAAGTTATTAATTTGATATGTTTCTTATATTCTACTATCAGGTTAAAGATACAAACAACTCTCTTCCTAAGCACTGCTTTTGCTGCATCCCATGAATTTTGATAGGTTGTTTTGTTTTCTTTCAGTATAAAATGTTCTAATTTTCTTTGTGATTTCTTCTTGAACTCATGAGTAAGAAATGCGTGGTTAAATTTTTTAATGTTCATGGATTTCCAAAATTTCTTTCAGTTTTTCCTTCTAATTTAATTCTGTTGTAGTTAGAGAACATACTTGGTCTGACTCCAGCCTTTTGTTTTAATTTAAGACACAGCCTCACTCTGTTGCTGAGGCTGGAGTGCACTGGTGTGATCTCAGCTCACTGCAAGCTCCGCCTCCCAGGTTCATGCCATTCTCCTGCCTCAGCCTCCTGAGTAGCTGGGACTATAGGGGCCCGCCACCATGCCTGGCTAGTTTTTTGTATGTTTAGTAGAGATGGGGGTTTCACGGTGTTAGCCAGGATGGTCTTGATCTCCTGACCTCATGATCCACCCACCTCAGCCTCCCAAAGTGCTGGGATTACAGGCATGAGCCACCACGCCAGTCCCTCAGCCTTTTTAAGTTATTAAAACTTGTTTATTGCCTAGCATGTGATCTTTTCAAGAAAATGTATTATGTATGCTTTTAAATCAGTTGAAAGAAAAATATACTTTTTAGTATGTAATTACCTTATTGGTGGTCTTTATTTCTTCATGTGAATTTGAGTCACTGTCTAGTGTCATTTTCTTTCATCCTGAAGAACTTCCTTCAGTAATATTTTTCCCCTTTTGTCTTTTTTTCTCTGAGACTTCCATTTCATATATGTTGATATGTTTGATGGTTTCCTATATATCTCTGCAGCCCTATTTTTCTTCATTTTTACTTTTGTCCTTCAGATTAGTTAATTTTTATTGATCTATCTTATAAGTTTTCTGACTATTTTTCCTGCTAGCTCAAATCGGTTGTTGAATACCTCCAGTGAATTTTTATTTCATTGAATGTACTTTTTAATCCCCAAATTTCCATTTTCTTCTTTTTAAAAAATACTTTTTACTGCTTCATTTATATTCTCTATTTGCTAGGTAATTGTCATCATGTTTTTCTTTAATTCTTTAAACACGATTTTCTAAATATGCTGTAAATGTAATTATGATAGTTGCTTTTTCTTCTAAGTCCAACTTGGGCCCTCACAAATGTAGTTTCTAATAAACATCTCCTTCCCTCTGTATGAGTCACACTTTCTAGTTCTTTCATGACTTGTAATCTCTTGTTGAAAACTGGACATTTTGGATACTACATTGTTGAAATTCTAAATTCCAAATCCTCTCTCCCAGTGGTTGTATTTGTTATTATTTTTTGCTTGCTGGCTTCCTTGTTTACTTGTTTTGTGACTTGCTTGGAATAATTCTGTGGAATCTATCTCACCATATAGTATAGCCACTGATGTCTCTGCTCAGTTTGTTGTTTATTAAATCTTTGTTTTCATTTTTAAGCCTATCATTTTAGTGGTCACCTTTGGATCTATATAATATCGTCATCAGTTAATAATTAGTAAGAGCTTGTGCTTAAACACTTTTTCTCAGTAAAGTTTCCACCTCTTTGTTTTTTTGTTTTGTTTTTTGTTTTTTTTTTTTTGAGACGGAGTCTCGCTCTGTCACCCAGGCTGGAGTGCAGTGGCATGATCTCGGCTCACTGAAACCTCCGCCTCCCAGGTTCAAGCGATTCTCCTGCCTCAGCCTTGGGAGTAGCTGGGATTACAGGCACATGCCACCACACCCGGCTAATTTTTGTATTTTTAGTAGAGATGGGGTTTCACCAGGTTGGCCAGGCTGATCTCCAACTCCTGGCCTCAGGTGATCCACCCACCTCGGCCTCCCAAAGTTCTGGGATTACAGGCATGAGTCACCACGCCTGACCAGTTTCCACTTTTACCATTGGATCTGTGTATGGATTGGAGAACACATTTAAAGCTAAGACAGTATTCTCCTCCAACTTTTACTTCCTGTTGAGCCTCTTCATGCCTCCTCCAAATGTGTATAAGGTCTCACATTCAAAGAGGGGCATGCAGAGGGACAGGTTTTTCTCCAATCTTTCTGGCTTAACCAGCTACCATTATTTTGCTCATCTGTAAAACAAGAGAGTTGAATTAAATGGTAATTTCTAAATTCCTTTTTGGCTGCAAATGTAAAGATCCTATGTACCACAGACACACTATTGTATTTGTTTTCTTCTTGCGATAGTGCAGAGCTTCTCTCCTAGTAATGGTGGATTAGGAAATTCTGACTGTCTGCTAAGATCAACTGAAAATCCTGGACACAGTATAAAAATACATCTTACCGATGAATTAGAAAGCTAATAAGGTAGTGAGGAATTATAGAAACCAAAACGAAGGAGAAGAATGAAAGCCAGAGGGGGAAAAAATAAAAGCTTCCTTTGAGAGTTTCTTTTCTCCTCAGGCCATCATATATTCCAAAAATTAGTGGCTGAGAGTCTAAGAAGATCAACTGAATTTTTGACAGATTTACAGATCTGGGAAAATAGAAGTTCCTGGCCCAGCAAGGAAAGCGTGGTATTGTAGTAAACTTCATGACTCTCGGTTGAAATCCCAAAGAGCTACAATAAGGTGAAAAATAACAAATAGATTCTTGCAGGGGTTGAAACCCAGCTACAAATTATTTTAATTCATGATTAGATTAAGATCATTTAGCATTGCAAGTATTCCTGACTGCCTGCCAAAAGCAAACATAAGTTCCTGTTAAAGAAAGATACCATTCTAGGTTACAGATTATCTCTACATTTTATAAAAATGCAATGTCCTGCACTCAGCTGAAAATAACCAGGATCTGTGGCTTACACTTGTGATCCCAGCTACTCAGGAGACTGGGGTAGGAGGGCTGCTTGAGCTCAGGAGCTAGAGGCTAAAGTGAGCCATGATCATGCCACTGCACTCCAGCCTGGGTGGCAAAGTGAGACCCCGTCCGTAAAACAACAACAAAACCAAAAACCACAAAACAGGAGAACGAGGACAAATGACTGAAGGCTGAGTATCAAGAGAAATAAAACATAGAAAAATGCCTAGAGAGGATCTGGAAAATGGAATTTGTAGGCAAAGACTTAAAGATATCTATGCTTACTATGTTGAAAACTCAGATTAAGATTTTTATGTGAAACTAAAACATATTTAAAAAGAAAAAAGAACTGAATGGAAATTCAAGAACTTTAAAAACAATAGCATATTTAATTTAATGTAGATAGATTGAAGAAAGAGAGAAATATTATCCTGAAAAATATGACAAAAAAATTTCAAATTGAAATCAAAAAGAATAAAATTGGAGTGTAAGAGAAAGAAGAAAAGTAGTGAAAAGGACTGAGATACATATAGTTGCAATACTGGAAGGAGAAGAGAAAGACAATGTGGTAGAAGCAATATTGCAAGAGACAATGGTTGGGAGTTTTCCAAAACTAGTAGAAGATATAAAGCCCAATATTATAAAAGGTCTATAAACTCCAGCACTATAAATATAAAGAAAATTGTTTTTAAGACATCACAGCAAAGTTGCTGAAAGCCAAAATTATAGAAGAAATCCTAAAACTGGACAGAGAAAAATGATATTACCTTCATTGAAGAGAAAAATTATACTAACAGTTGTCTTCACTAAAAAAAAAAAAAAAAAAAAAATGCAGAAGCAAGAATACAATGAAATTATAGCTTCAAAATAATGAGAGAAAACAACTACAAACTTGAAGTTCCATATTGAGTGAAAGTATCTTTCGAAAGTAAAAGTGGTAAGAAAGACATCACTAGAGTCTAGGTAAGGCAATGGAGTGGTTAGAACTTTCCGCTGAAGACGTTTAATTAAAATTATAGAAAGCACTTTTTAGGAAGATGATAAATAATCTCAGAAGACATTCAGAGCTGCAAAAAGGAAGGAAGAGCAAGAAAAGGGGTAAATATGCTCCTAAATCTAAATTGATTTTGACTATGTAAGACAATAATAATTATAATATCTGTGGAATTTTAAAATATGTAGAATTAAAATACATAAGAAGAATAATAGTGTATGAGAAGAGATGGTGATAAATGGAATTTAAATGTTCTTAGGATTTTGCATTGTCTAGCAAAAGGTAAAAGTACACATTTTTATTAGACTTTTCTAAGGCAAAGGATTTTGTCATCTCTAGGAAATAATGTTAAGGAAATTTGCTAAGCAAATTCAAGTAAGTTTAAGTAAATTCTGAATGTCTAGTAGCCTCATGCCAATTTTAAATTTTAGTATGTTCCTCTATTTGGGTATGTTACATATGAAAAAAAAAATTTTAATTGGCATTTCAAGGAAAACTGCAAAGAATCATCCAAAAACGAAAATTCAACTTTATACTTATTTATCTGTTTAGAGAAAATTACCTGAAGGTGACTCTGAAGCAAAAGATAATCCCTGTTTTAAGGTTGGAAGTTTTAGAAAGGACACAGCCATTTTAATCCATTCTTGGCTGGGGAGCATAAGGTATAAATCTAATTACTGTGCTTTTACAGTAGTGCATATGAACGCACGCTTTTAATAGGCCAATTTGCTTGGAGGGCTGTGAATTATTTCCTAAGTTTGGGTATTATTACCTCTCTTCAAACAAAGCAGGGGCAGAAGAGATAACTGAAAGAAAAAGGGATAGATGACTTGGTCTTGACTGGACAGTTCTGTGACCCAGTTGGGATAGAAGGTTCTTGAAGGTAGGAATCAGTACCTATATTCATGGGTAGTTCTTGGAAGGAGCTAATTGTTGTGTAGAGGAAAAGGACGCTGACTGGGCTGAGACACAGATAAAGAGGGTTGCCATCTTGTTTCTACTACTGACTAGCTTTGTGTCCTTGGGAAAGTCATTTTGTAACCCTAAACATTAGTTTTCTTTTCAGTAATATGGGCAAAGTAATTTAGCTCATAGATTTAGTGTGAGAACTGATAATGTGTATGAAAGTGTTTTGTAAACAGAAAAGTATATACAAGTGTAGGACATTTATTTTTGTTTCAAAACATGTATCACACAATTCAAATCAAGAGCATTTATCAGTAGTTACAAAGAGGTGAACAAATTTATGGTACATATGAAACAGCCAAACTACAAAACTGTATATTTGAGTTAAAACTAGTTGCCTAAACAGCTACAGGGGAAAAAAAATCAAATTTTCGTAGTCAGTAGGCCATGGGAATAATTTTGATTTTGTCATGTATTTTTACACTGATACTAGCACAGAACTGTCAACTTCTAAATTTGTTTCTCTTTCATTAGGTGATCTGTTGGATTTGGTGTCTATTTTACTCTGTTTCTTGTAAAATGTCCAAGAAAACATCCAAAAACAGAATGTTCACATGATCAGATTTTCAATAACCTGTTAAGTAGCTTAATTCATAACTTTATGAGCAAATCATATATTATCAAAGGAGAAACAAGTATATCCATTTAGATTGTTTTATTTTTCATGTTTAGACCAATTGATTTGTTATTCCTGGATGATGAACAACAATATTATCTTATCTAATTTAAGGAAGCATTGGGGAAATTATGTCTGGGAATGTTATATTCAGATTTCTGAGAAAATATAAAAGTGTAAAATTTCGAGCTACTGAGGATGGAGTTTCCAAAAGATCTTTCATTTCAGCCTCTTAGGTTTTCTGTGTGGAATACAGATGTGAGGAAAGATAGCCTTTCCTGATGTTCTGATATTCATATCTACTGTGATTTTATTTAGAGAATCAGATTTCGTTAGCTTGGAAAATGATGGAAGACCAGAATGAGAGGAGGGCAAGACACTTTTCAAGTGACTATTATTACATGTTGGAAAGCCTTGTTTTATTTTTCCAAAACACTTTTTGTATCAATGCCCATATAAGTGATTTTGAAATTATTATTATAAATATATGGACCTGATGAGGTATTTTCCTTATTAATGCCACACAGAAATTTGTGCTGTTTAATATTTTATGATACCAAGTAGTATCATTAGATCATAATAATACATTGATTATTAAGTAAATGACTAAGATATATTTTGGAGAGAGATTTCAAGAGATAGATTAGATAAAACTCAGATTATAGTCTTAAAGAGTTAATAAATTGTGAAGTCCTATATCAAAAATAATAAAGAAATAACTACTGTGGCTTCTTAGAATACTCAAAAGATTAAGAAGCTTATAAGAAATTATTTTCTGATGGGTGGCAGTGGCTCATGCCTGTAATCCCAACACTTTGGGAGGTCAAGGTGGGTGGATCACTTGAGGTCAGGAGTTCGAGACCAGCCTAGCTAACACAGCAAAACTCCATCTCTACCAAAAATACAAAAATTTGCTGGGCATGGAGGTGCACGCCTATGATCCCAGCTACTTGGGAGGCTGAGGCAGGAGACTTGCTTGAACCCAGGAGGCAATCGTTGCAGTGAGCCGAGATCACACCACTGCTACACCCAGCCTGGGTGACAAAGCAAGACTCCCTCTAAAAAAAAAAGAAAAAGAAAAAGAAAAAGAAAAAAAAAGAAAAGAAATTATTTTCTCAGGGTGAATATTGTCTCCCTCTTTGCAGGCCTTACTCGACTCTGCTTTCCCCACCCCCCGCCCACACCCCCACCCCCCCACCCCCGCTTTCTCCTTCTGCCTCCGCCTTCCACTTCATTTGCATCTTGCCTCCTCCAGACATATCTCCAGCTTCTACCACTCCTCCTTCAACTGCTTTTTAGGCCAAAACAACTGTATTATCAGTAAGACTAATGTGATGGTCAGTCATATCACAGAGTTCTCTGGATCTATTACAAAGCTTTGTCTTCTAGTTTACTCATCTAATTAATTTCAACTTTCCACTTGGCTTTGTGTATGTAGATCTAGCAACAAAAACACGTAACCAAAACATTTTTTTCTTTTCGTTTCTTTTTCCCTCTGTTTCTTTCTTCTTTCTTCCTCTCCCCTTCCTCTCTCTCTTCCTCACTTCTTCTCTCCTTCCCTCCCTTCCCTCCCTTCTTTTCTTCCTTTCTCCCTCCCTCCCTTCCTTCCCTCCTTTCCTCCTTTCTGCCTGGCCAGAAATTGGGTGAAATGATACTTTAGTATTTGTTAGTTGTCATTCCCAATTCTTCACTGCATCTCTTCTGAGTTTTATGTCACCTGGGGTTTTGAGTGAATATCAGAAGTTCCTAAAGTATCTACCAGGAGAACACAGAGTTCTAACAGCTAACAAATTCTCGTGAAGACAGAGCTGTCATCTCCCGCAGAAGCAGAAGGGCTAGGCTGCGTCACTTAAATTCAGCCCAGGGTGTCAGATGGGAGTTTGAGTCAAATAGGGAGAGGGTAATAGCATTCCCCAAAACCCCCTCACACTAAAGCGGTTCTGAAATTCTGAAAAGTCTTTAACTTTATTGGGTACAACATGGGCAATGTAACAAAAAGTTGCATATGCCAAGGACTCTAAAATACACAGGGTTCAGACTCACAGAAATATCTTTCAAATGTGCTCAATGTAGTAAGACGAAATAGAATCTAATATTAGTCAAAAATAATTAATTCATAGCTATCAAAAGTATGTCTTCTGTTAAAAAGTGCCTGCTGAGGTATTTTGGAGAAAAATAGAGCTGACTAAGCCTTTGAATCATGTAATCAATTTGGTTGGTTGCCAAAAAAAAAAGGAAATTTAAAGTTTTTGTTGTTTTATGGTTTTATGTTTTTGTTTTTTTTTTTTGAGAAAAAGTGAGGACCTGACTCAGTCTTACCTAAATTTTCAAGAAAATTGAAGTAGTTAGATTAGTGCAAAAGTAATTGCAGTTTTTGCAACTACTTTTGATGGTGAAAAATGCAATTACATTTGCACCAATCTAATAATATCAGTTATTTTTGGATAGCAAATACAGAATGACCACCACTACCACCACCACCCTTCAAGCAGCCTAGGGGATCTATTTTCTTTGACCCACAGCCTTACATAGGCTGGCCCACATCCTGCCGATGCAATCCTTACAGGCAAAGGAGCTGGGTTTGAGAGTTGAGCAGGCCTGACTCCCATGTGTGCATGTGTGATCCTATGCAAATAATTCTGCTTGGTGAGTCTCAGTTTGAACATTTTTAAGAGAAAGAGAAGACAGAAAGAGAAAAAAGGAGCAAGAGAGGAAAAGAGAGAGAGAGGAAAATCATGATGCCTATGGCACAAAGCGTTGAGGAATGTGAAAAAGAAAATATATGAAATGTGCCTGTTTACACCTAAGTGCTCAATAATTTTATTTTATTTTATATTTTATTTTATTTAGATGGAGTCTTGCTCTGTCACCCAGGCTGGAGTGCAGTGGCATGGTCTTGGCTCACTGCAACCTCTACCTCGTGGATTCAAGCAATTCTCCCTGCCTCAGCCTCCCGAGTAGCTGGGATTACAGGCATGAGCCATGATGCCTGGCTAATTTTTGTATTTTTCAGTAGAGACAGGGTTTCACCATGTTGGCCCAGCTGGTCTTGAACTCCTGACCTCAGGTGATCCGCCCACCTCAGCCTCCCAAAGCGCTGGGATTACAGGCGTGAGCCACCGCAGTCGGCCTCAATAAATTTTAGTCGTTATATTACTAGTAGTAAAGGTTAAACAAAAGATATAAAACACTTCATTTTATTTTATATATTTTGGTAAAGTTTCTTTGGATAAAAAATATTGGGGGAGAATCCACTGATAAGAAAGCCAGAACATTTTAATATCGGGGGAGGATTTCTAACAAAAGGTGATAGTTACTGAAATTGATGCTCTAGGAGAAGAGAGTAGGACTGAGGCTGGAGAAAGCCCTTCAGGCAAAATGGACTCATTAGTAATGGGGCATGTGCTTCAGAACTCTATTCCAATAACTACTCTGTGATTTACGTACTCTGGCATTGGTGAATATGTTATATTTTTTGCACAGCTTATTGGTGGAAAAATAATTATTTCCTATGCTATTTCATTTTTAGGTGATCTGTATCCAACTTTCTTAGCCTATTGCACATCCAACAGCTTTTCGTAACACGACTAAAACAAAGCTAATTTTAGCTGGATGAGGATCATAGCCATTTATGGTTTGACACTAGTTAGCCTGAGAAAAGAGATTGAAAATGACTTCAAGAAGATTGAATATGTTTCAAAACATTTTTATTTCCACATGAGGAGCAAATCTACTATCTATGTGATAGTCTGCAAAGAGAAAAGAATGTCTTTCCAAATCTCTAAATTAAGGATTTTACTTAATGATATCATTTGATATGTAGCTGAAGTTGTTAAAGTTTATCTAATATTTATGGTAACCCCATGGTACGTACAGTATAGAAGAAAGAAAATGGGCTTTGGAGTTGGATCTCAATTGCAAATCCAACTCCTTAACCTCTTAACTACCCACCTACCCAACTCTACCTTTTTCCTTTATCTGTAAAATCAGAATAATAATACCTTATATATAAGATTGTGGCAGTGATTAAATGTTTAAAAGCACATAAAATGCTTAGAACAGCAACTATGGCATAATGCTCATACAGTCATGGCATAAATAGTAATTCTATTTTGCTTTCTAGTAATCAAATTTTTTATTGGATTGTCATTAACTCACTTCTTTTTAATACTTTCAGTTAAATAGCTATGTATCCTAATAGAATCTTGTTAAAATGATAAACTGTGAAAACATGTCATCTTAGTATCCAAGGTGAATGAATCTAATACTGTATTTTGTTCTTAGTGAAAACTATTACATCAAAGTTCCAATTTTTGTTCTCTAGCTCACAAAAGAAGAAACTCAAACACGTGAAAGTTTCCCTAGTTTCTTCTTCTTGGTTTCCTACATAGTGAGATAGGCAGAACCAAAATAAATGTTTACCATGTTTCATTGTCTTTTTCACCCTATCAGAGGTTTACAATGTGTGCATCAGAGGTCAGATTAAGTCCAAGGATGTGGCTGTCAGTGACTCAGTCAAGGAGGGGGCATGTAAGCCAACTCCAAGCCCAAGTTGAAGTTAGAAAAACATACCTTTGGAGAGGCCTCGCTTTCCATTTTGCTACCACTTTTCTTATTTCTGGCCTTCTTTTTTGGTCCTCTTTTTACACTCAAACTTTTGTGGTACAGGAACAGAAAACCACGTACTGCATATTCTCACTTATAAACGGGAGCTAACCACTGAGTACACAAAGAAGGGAGCAGACGCTGGGGCCTACTTGAGGGTGGAGGGAGGGAGAAGAGTGAGGATCAAAAAACTACCTATCAAGGGCCGGGCACGGTGGCTCACGCCTGTAATCACAGCACTTTGGGAGGCCGAGGCGGGCAGATCACGAGGTCAGGAGATCGAGACCATCCTGGCTAACACGGTGAAACCCGTCTCTACTAAAAATACAAAAAATTAGCCGGGTGCCATGGTGGGCGCCTGTAGTCCCAGCTACTCAGGAGGCTGAGGCAGGAGAATGGCGTGAACCCGGGAGGCGGAGCTTGCAGTGAGCCGAGATGGCGCCACTGCACTCCAGCCTGGGTGACAGAGCAAGACTCCAACTCAAAAAAAAAAAAAAAAAAAAAAGAAAAAAGAAAAAAAAACTACCTATCAAGTACTATGCTTATTACCATCTGGGTGAAGAAGTAATCTGTATGCCAAACCCCCATGATACGCAATTTACCCCCATGATACGCAATTTACTTATGTAACACACTTGCAAGTTTACCCCTGAACCTAAAATAAAAGTTTCTAAATAAATAAATAAATAAATGAAGGGCAAACAACACCAACAACAAGAAAAACATCTTTCGTGGTAAATCATTTCTTGCCCCAGCCTTGTCATCACAGTCGGAAGTGGAGCAGAAAACTGGCCTGAAAAATAACGAGGCAGGTTCTTGTTCTAGGTTGCTTATTAACTACGTAGGTGATCTTACAGAGCAAGCCACTTTTTTGGGTTTCTTAAGTTAGAGAGGCAAATGAGATTTATCAATTTGTGTAAATTTTATTACATTTTGACATGATATGATACATTACCCTGATAAGGGTTTATGTTGTTTTCTTTGTTATATTTGCATTTCAATCTAAACTTGTAAAGCCTGTCTAGCTAACTGGTTCTAGTGGGGGAAGTGATATAATAATCTCCTATTCCTGGATCTCGACTCCCTGTCTTATGAAAGGTCAGAGTAGTATTAGTTCCCTAGACTGTAGGCAACCTATCAGTGCATCAAAATTATTGGAGGGGATTTGTAAATCTGTAGCTGCTCTACCATTGGAAACTCAGAGTGGCTCAGGCAGGAGGTTGGTGAAAGATCTGTGTTTTTGGCCAAGCGCGATAGCTCATGCCTGTAATCCCAGCACTTTGGGAGGCCAAGGCGGGTGGATCACCTGAGGTCAAGGGTTCGAGACCAGCCTGGACAACATGGTACCGCATATTCTCACTCATAGGTGGGAATTGAACAATGAGAACACATGGACACAGGAAGGGGAACATCACACTCTGGTGACTGTTGTGGGGTGGGGGGAGGGGGGAGGGATAGCACTGGGAGGTATACCTAATGCTAGATGATGAGTTAGTGGGTGCAGCGCACCAGCATGGCACATGTATACATATGTAACTAACCGCACATTGTGCACATGTACCCTAAAACTTAAAGTATAATTATAATAAATTTAAAAAAAAAACAGACAACATGGTGAAACCCCGTCTCTACTGAAAATACAAAAATTAGCTGGGCGTGGTGGTTCACATTTGTAATGCCAGTTACTTGGGAGGCTGAGGCAGGAGAATCGCTTGAACCTGGGAGGTGGAGGTTGCAGTGAGCTGAGATTGTGGAGATTGTGCCACTGCCTTCCATCCTGGGTGACAGAGTGAGACTCAGTCTCAAAAAAGGAAAAAAAAAGTTGTATTTTTAAAAGAATCACAGATAATTTTGATGCTTACTCAGAGTTGTGAGTCTTAGTGGCTGTGTTAAGCTGGTTGAATTGCCTCCTTCCTCCACATCTACAGAAAACACTGTGTCTTACTGGGTCTTTTAGAAAGCAGATCCTAAGACAAGGAATCAATGTTAACATTTTACTGGGGATGCAAGATCATGGCAATGAAGGTGAGAGTGAAAGATACAGGAAGCAAAGTAAGAATGGAATGCAATGTCTTATCACCTTGGCTACTACTTTATAATAAGCCATAGCAGGTCACTCAATAGAGTTGTTAATTCTGTACATGAGGATTTTGCAGAAAGTTTATAGGGAGAACCTCTCTCCAGAGTAACCCACAGACAGAAAGAATGGGAAATGTATTTGCCTAGCTATCTCCCATCTCTCACTTCTAACTGGCCTAGTTTCACTCCATGAGGAGTTAACTCCCTATCCTCTGGGCTCTGTCATCTGGTTCATTCACCATTTCTCCAGAAACAGATCCTGTATCTCACAGTGTGGTGTTTTACTAAAATACAGTAATGGAAGGGTGACCTGACATGGGTCTTTCTCACTGATAAAATGAGAAAGAGAAAGAGAGAAAGAGAGATAAGTTGAGAGCCTCCGAAAAGATGAACAATATTTGTGTCTCAATATACATAGTTATAATCCACTCTTTGGGGAAAGTTATCAGCCCCTCACCTAGGATATGTCATAAAAGCAATTGTCCTAATGAAATGCAAAAGCTGGTTCATTTACAGCACAGGCATTAAAATCCATGAGAGAGATTTCTGGGAAGCCCAACTCCAAAGAAAATGGTAATTTCTTGGAAATTTTAATATGTGCATTTGGTATTGGGTATTATTAACAGAGTGTGAATGGTAATTCAACCGAAAATGATTTCAAGGTCTAAAGTGTCTGCCACAGAAACAAAAATTTCAGGGAAACATTATATTCAAACAGAGCTGCTGGAGTTCATTTAGCTTGTTCACATACAGCTTGAAAGCTGTGTTTGAAATTTGTGCACACATGTAAATTGACAATTAGCCCTTGGCCACGGGTACATCTTAGGCACTAGAAAATCAACTCGTAAACTTCATATCTCATTCCACTCTTTTAACTGGAAGTGAACTATTTGGCCCTCTCTATTTCACTTTACAGGAAGTATATTTATTCCACTTGGGCATAATTTTAGCCCCTGTGCTCGCTCTTTCTTTCTTTCTTTTCTTTTTTTTTTGAGATGGAGTCTCATTCTGTCGCCCAGGCTGGAGTGCAGTGGCGTAACCTCGGCTCACTGCAACCTCCATCTCCCCAGGTTTCAGCATTTCTCCTGCCTCAGCTTCCCAAGTAGCTGGGATTGCAGGAGCGTGCCACCATGCCCAGCTAATTTTTGTATTTTTAGTAGAGACTGGGTTTCACCATGTTGTCCAGGCTGGTCTCAAACTCCTGACCTCAAGGGATCCACCCACCTCAACTTCTCAAAGTGCTGGGATTACAGGCATGAGCCACCGCACCTGGCCTCCTGTGCTCTTATGTTGAAGTCCAGTCATCACAGAGGTAAGTCAGACCTTTGTCCAATGACTCATGAATACTTTATACTCTTTTCCACACCCTACCTCCCACCCCACCCCCATTTTAAAAAGAATAGGTAGGTAGGAAGTGACACTGATAAAAATTTCTGTCTTGCTAGCCCAGGATGATACAAGCTTATGAATGATAGACATTTATATGCTCTGTATATATCTTCTGACAAATTATGTGTTTTCTTTATCTTGAACCATGTAGTTCATTGCTAGCCTCTCTCAAAATGCACAAGGAGAAGAATGATACTTAAATCTTTGTGACCATTTGAAATCTAATTTAAGTATGTATCCAAAAAATTGAGTTATAGTATCACTTAGATTGGGTGCAATCATGTCAAAGATAGTTTATGAATTACAAAGGAATGGGTCATAAAAGAAGAGACTTTCCCCATCCCCCTTGGAGATCTGTTTATTTGGCAATTAACAATGGACTAGAGTATCTTTCTAAAATCGTGTCCCGTGACTTCAGAGTTTAATCTAATATTGAATTCATTTTATATATTTTTAACAGCCTGTACTCCATTTAGCTGTCAGAATGAACCTTTTAAAAGGATGAATCACATCTTGATGCTTATGACATCTCAGTACTCTAGTGGTTTCCCATCACATTTTGAATAGAGTCTAAAGTCGGGGGCCTACAGGACCCTATATGATCTGGCCCTTGGCTAGCTTACTAATATGAACATCCAGGACTCTCTTACCCACTCTACTTCAGCCACACTGAGCTTCCAGAGTGAGACTTAGCAGACTTAAACTAGTGGTTACCAAAAGTAGGCAGATTTGAGACATATTTTGGATGCAGAACAGACAGGTCTTACTGACAGATTAAATTGGAAAGTTGAAGAAAAAGAGAAATAAAGAAAACAGAAAACCAAATACCACATGTTCTCACTTATAAGTGGGAACTAAATGATGAGGACTCATGAACACAAAGAAGGGAACAGCAGACACTGGGTTCCACTTGAGGGTGGGGGTAGGAGCAAGGAGAGGAGCAGAAAAGATAACTATTGGGTACGTGGCTTAATGTCTGGTTGATGAAATACTCTGTACGACAAACCCCCGTGACACAAGTTTACCTGTGTAACAAACCTTCATACGTACCCCTGAACCTGAAATAAAACTTTAAAAAAGGAAAGAATTATTTTGGGTTATAATAGCGACAATAAATATTAGCTCTTTCTATGAGTATTATCCCACATTAATAAGAACTAGATAAATGATCACGCTGAATATGTGGCAGTGATAAATCCTGCTTTAGTTTGTGTGTTAGGTGCTATATTAGGGTCAGAATTTAGTGTTTTCTTCACCTGTGAGTCAGCAGTTCTCCCAGTTTTATGGATGGCAGAACCGTTTATCTTTGGAAGAGCTGCCACTATTCAAGTTCATGATTTACTTTAGCACTTCTAATATTTCTCGAAGTTGGTTCCCAAGCCACAGCCAATGGAATATTCATTTTAAAATGCAAGCCCAATTCCTCTCTGGAGATAGGACCTAGGAATCTTCATTTTAACTTGTACCCCATGATCCTTATAGATTCTGAGCTTGAAAATCACTGCTTTAACAGATTTCTTGGGAACTTATATACTTTGTTGGGTTTATTAGAAGTTGAACTTGAGTTGTCTTCACTCCACCTTCACAGAGAAACTCACCGTCTCTCAGACCAAGAAAACATTTAACTGAAAGGCCTGGAGATGATGAATGAGATTGAGTTCCCTTCTCTAGGAAATGGGTTATTTTTCGGACCATGCAGGAAGAGTGTACTTTGGCACCCATTGTCTTGATGTATTGGGAGAAGATGATTCAGATTCATACAGCTGGTACGCTGGTACATTCCTACACTGCTGCTTCAGGGGGATAAACTAGGTTCCCAGAAATTGTGTGGCAGGATGCGCTCCATCTCTCCTCTAGAACATGCATACTGTCTTAACAACTTATATTTGTTCTGTTTTTTTTTTTTTTTTTTGACATGCTTTCACAGGGACATAGTGGAATGCCAAGTCCTGATAAATCCAAGATAAAACAAAAAAGAAAGCAGTTCCATCACCTCTATCCTTCTTTCTTTTCCAGACTTCCTAAAGGTTAGGAAATTCTTGAGGATTTCTTTTTTCATCATATTCAAAACACACACACACACACACACACACACACACACACACACACACACACACACACATATATATATATATATATATATATCCTGGTCTCCAATTTTAAATACAAGACAAATCCTTTACAGTCCCAGAAAGGAGGGCATTGACCAGTCCCAGCTCAGTTCCCACCTGGGGAATTCCATACATATACAAATTTAAATTCAATTTACCACATTCACATGAAAAGGGACTGGTTTTCTAAGCCCGATGATGGGAGTGACATTGAATACAAGATTGTGTAGCACTTTAAAGAACTTTCCTTTTATTAGCAGCTCCATAATCACATTAACTTAGTCTGAGAATTCAAACTAATTCTTTCCCTAGAGGCCCGAGCAGTAATAATTGTAGAAATCTGTGAAAAAGGATAAATACAATTCAATAATTATATTGATAAATAAAATGAAAATCAACTAATTGTGTCATTCACTCAGATGCTCGCCTCGGCTGTTGCTGGCTTTCTGCTTCACTGCCTGCTAAACTTTTACTGTCACACTTCAATAAATTTAATTGTGCAGAATAAATGAGCTAATTTTTGAAGTCACAGGCTCTGTTTGCAAGATAAGGGCGGTGATTTATTGACCTCTTCTAGCTCTGTAAGAGCATCACACTCCTCCACTGACAACTTGGCATCGGCCGTTTTCCTTTCTGCCGGTTCCCCTCACAGCTCTTGCTAGTTCTGTCCTAACCTTCCCTCTCTCCTCTCATCTTCTTTCAAGAAATCACTGGCTGCATATCTTAAACAGTCCGGCAGGCCCTGCTTCCCGTTGGTTTCAGAAGAACATTCTGGTCTCTGTAGTAGTTCTTCATAGGGTGATGAATTATTTTTCCATTTCTGCAGCTATCTGAACCTATCCTTCAGAACTAAAGCCTCAGGTTGTGAACTTCTACCTTTCGACATCCCATGGCAAAATCCAGCTCATCTGTAGTTGTGATACAGATAATGGAGACAATGGCTTTTGCTCTTGGACTTAAAACAGTTTCTTGCAACAGGCACACTGATGTCACACCAGATCAAAACTCCTGATTAAACACAATGTTTCAAAGCGAGGTCACTTCCTGCATGTTGGGTTGAGATATGACAACTTAAAATATAACCACTCAAAATGCCAAGAATTATTTGAATAAGCAAAATAGAATTTGCTTGTAATGTAGAGAATATGCCTTGGACCAAATGCCTTAGTGTCTGAAATAGCTTTTATATACAATATCTCCTGAATGATGTACAGTGTATATTAACAACTGACTGTTTCCCATGTAAGCCTCATATTTTTAATACACGCCAAAGAACTTGTATTCATTATACCTTCTCACAGTGTCCGGCTTCTTTGGCAATACCTGGAATTAGTAGGTGTTCAACAAATAATTGATGAATTAACACATTAATTAATGAATACATTGCATTGATATAAAAGTTATATTACATGAATACTTGCATGTATATTTCAGCTTATTATGGCACAATTTGGAAGACATGCAATTTTATGTCAATTTTATGCCAAATGGTAGTAGCATAGTGATCTCTAAGCAGTGGGACCAAATTAGGGTTGAGAAGAAGCCTCTAAAGGGAGAGTAGAAAAATAACTATCTTTTAATAGAGAAGGCCTTGTAAAGCATCATCAGGCATCTAAATGTTATTCCAATTTGTACACAAAGAAAATATGTTTCACAGCATAGCATAGCCATCTATCTACCAAGGGAGTTCCACAGACAGATCTCTCAGATCTCTCAGAGGGGTCTGTCAACCATCAGCTCACTGTGGGCTCAGTTGTCCGCCTCACCTGGCATGAAGAAAAGCAGTGGAACTATATACTAAGATTTGAGGTTCTTAGTACAATGGCTTCAGTCCTCTGATTATGGAAGCTCAGAGTCACAAATTTACAGCTGGGTAAAAGGGCTAGCAAAATATGAGTGTGTGTGTGTGTGTGTGTGTGTGTATGTGTGTAAATTAGCTAGATCTCTTGAATATTAAGAAGACAAACACTTTACTTTTCAATTTATCTTTTTCTTTTTTTACTTTCCTTTAACTGCTTTCCTCCTGTTATTTTCCAACCTTGTGCTCCACTGTCTTTTCTCCTTCAAATGGGTGAGATCTCTTTGAAGTCTGAGAATGTGGCTTGAGGAAGGGAAGAGCTGGCTGCAGTGCCGCTCCTAATGAAGACTTACGTGATAGCATTGCCTTGAAGCTCAGCACTACCTGCCCAGGTAGTTAGACCCAGTCTCCAGGTGTTTGCTTGCAAGAAGTCATAGTGTCATTGCAAATCAGGATAGATTCCCTGACAGGCAGAGAAGAACTTTCCACACTGGTGCTCTTGCTGTCATTGTTACCATCTTTGTTGCAAAAACAATCATTCCTTGATAATACCATGTTTAAAAGAGCCATTGAGTAAGTATAAGATTTTAATTACCTGATGTATCAGCAAAGGACAGAGGTGGGCTCTCATAGTATTGACTATGCCCTATTTTCCTCATGGGAAAATACCCCCTTAAGCTATTAATACAACTGGAAGAACTGCTAGGTCTTTTCTACACAGCTTTCCTCATTCTTGCCAAAGTGTTTATTGAATCCTTAACTAAAACCACTTGTGCTCTTGAACTCTCTTCTTGGAAAAAAGAAAGAAACTAAAAATACTGAACTATTATTGTTTCTTTCTCAGAGGTACACAAAGAAGGATTACCACAGGAAATCCAGAGAGGCTTTAGAAGACGAGCTTGCGTTGAGATAGAAGCCGGAAGCCCACTTAGCCAACTGCCTCCATGGGACTTGGCATGAGGCAGGCTTATGACAGTAAATGCTACACTGCCCTCAGTGAAAAAGAGAATTTGGCATTCATTCTTCTGAACCCGCCATCCCTCAGCCTTGGCGCCTGGGAATTCTGCGAATCGTTGCCTGTGGCAGTGACACTGATTTGTATCTGGGTATGAACTTAAATGAAAACATGAATTGAACTCATTACTTGAGGAAGGAAACACTGCCAAATTTAACAGGATGAAATTCCAGCAGGGTGTAAGGTTTTATGGGGCTACAGTGGAATATCTCATAGAAAGGTTTCCAGTTCATAAAACACTTTCAAAACATGCTCGGCCCTTTTAAGTTGAAGGGACATTATCATTTCTATCTATGGCATTTCTCTGCAAATTGAACTCAAATATCCTTTGGGCTGACTACACAGAGAACAGAAGAAAGAAGTGGAAGAAACTTGGACTGAAGATTGCCTCCCTGAAAAGGTTTTCTTCAGGCAGAATTAGGTGAGAACAAATGACATCAGAAAGTAGCATGTCAGTATACTGCTGCCAGCTCCATATGGTTCAGCTTGTTTTCACAGGTATTTAATTAATTCCACAAACATATATTGAGTATCAGATGTGGGATCCTGTTCAACACATTTGGGGTACAGTAGTCAATTAGTCTACTCTCATGGCACATACATGCTGGAAGGAGAGAAAAACAATAAATAAATGAACAAAAGATGCAGTATCAGGTAGTGATCATTGCTATCAAGAAAAATAAAGCAAGAGAAAATGGGATAGAAGGTGTCAGGGGTGCGGGGTGACATTTTACATAGTGTGTTTGGCAAAGGCAATTCTCAGGTGGTGACATTTGAACAGAAGCTTGAATGAAGTGACCTACATGTTGAATCCAGAAAGCTAATTTTATATATATATATTTTTGGAAGGGGGCAGGAGATAATAAGCTAGTAAAAGGGTTGGGAAATTATTTTGATTCAAGGATGCCCAGTTTAAAAAACTGTAAGAGACAGCCCCTCTTTTTCTCCCAGTATAGCGCTTTCGGTGGCCATTTGAATAGAGCTCTGCATGTTTCCTTGGGATTTTCTGGTGTTCATGGCATAACAACCAGCCAGCAGTCTTCTGGCTGGACCACGTTTTACTTGCTAGCAAGGAGCAGAAGCTGTGGAAATTGGCATGTAGAGATGTAAAAGGATTTTATACTTTTCAGCCTGGGCAGAAAATTATAGAGAAAAGTAGGTGGGAGTCAGAAAAACATGAAATGAGAAAGAAAAGCATAATCTGAGTGAGTTCTCTCTCTTTTTTTTTTTGTTTTCTATGTTTATCTTTCCACAGCTTTTTCACTGGCTCTGTTAAAAAGCAAATATCACTGCAAACTTCATTTCATTTTCTCTCAACAGATGAAATAAAGCTTGTTAAAATGTTTTTCCCTTCTGTCAGGTGCAAACTCCATGTTAGCAGGTTTGAAAACTTTCACATGTTCAGATAGCAATGGAGGTTTTAACTTGGCCAACATCAACAAACAAACCATGAGTCCCTCACGTGTGCAATGCTTGCATAGAATGAAATTGAGTATGAGCATGTTTGCCAACCCTACTACAAATGGTTTATTTAGAATAGTAGAATGTGAAAAATACAGATTTATTTTTAATAGCTAGTACCATGATGATTATTGATTTTTTCTTCCAGATTATTAATTTAAATAGCAAAATTATGCTACATGTTTAAAATATGTCTGTATCCTGAAAGTACTTATTGTAAGCTTAAGCCCAGTCTTATTTCTAAAAAGATAATTTGTAGGAGGTATAATTTTCATTTGTATTCATGTATATTAATATATTTTTTGGTGTTACACTGTTGCATGAGGATAGCTGTAAGGTCAGGATATTTAGGAAACCTCTGAATTGAACATTGAGCTTGTGGATCTAATATTTAAGTAACTGGTTTCTGTCTACGTACTCTTTTCTCTTCCGTGGTAAGCCCTGCAGGCAAGCTCACTTCTCTATGTTCTCAGTTGTAAATGAGGAAAGTAGGACGAGGTATGGAGCTGGAGGGTAAATGGCAGAATAGAAGACAGAGTGCCATTCTGCGTAAGAGCACCACCTTTTGTGTTTGGCAGGCTTGGTTTTAGTCCTGATTTTTCCAGGTCCAAGTATAATCTGGAGCATTTCTCAAATTCACTAAACCTCAGTTTCACCTTCTGTAAAACGAAGCTATTTCATTGAGTTATTTTGGGTTACATATGTAAAATTTACAGCCAAATACTTAACACTCAAGTCTGTCAAGAAACAATTCCAAATATTTTATAATAAATATATAAAAAACTTTCACAATTCATGGAATTTACTTCTTGATTAGTTGCCATGGTCTATGGTTATAATGAAATGTACTCTTGGCAGTCCTGGATAGAGAAGCTCTTGAACCACAACCACAACCATTACCTTGGAGATGTCGAAACTGCCCTTTTCCCCGAGACCATCATTAGTGCTTTCCACGAACCTGGATGATAACCTCACGTTCACCTTTCAAAGCCAAGAATAACAAGAGAATTGAATGTAATGATAATGTTTCTTCTTAAAATTATGCCAAATCCGACTTAGTTGATGTGAGTTCTGCTTTTTAAATTAAAGAAAGTACAAAGTCTATTTTGTGGGTTGGCTAAAAGGGCACTGGTTAAAGAAAACAATGGTTATTTGTTTCTGATGTACAAATGATCCACACAGACACATCTTTAGATGAAACCCCAAATTCTTTACTGGTTGGGTTCTACAAAGAGTGACAGTAGTAATTTGGTGAAGCAGCAGGGGGCAGAGGACTCTTGGTGGTAAGTTAACTTGATTCTACTTTGAAAACTCTGATTAATTGTGCATAGCTGTGCACATACACACACCACATAAACAAAATTCCTGGAATCTGACTGAACCTTATTAAAGATTCATGTCCCTGTAAGTGTAGAGTATAAATCCTATTTAATAAAAAGAATCCTTGTGCCACTGGTAGTAATGTTGGCTAGTGTTGAGAAGATAAAAAGAAGAGAGGTAAAAATAAATATAATGATCAGCTTTTTTTGAGAAATTATAATCTATTAAACTCTAATAATAACTCATTATTTTTTCTTAATGAATGCATGCAGAGGAATTCTATTTCTAAGTAAAGAGTTATAATTATATCAAACCAGCACAATGATTTATTGAGTGTTTACTATGCGGCACAGACTCTGATAGGCACTTTAACCTACACTATTTAATTTAATCCTCACAATGACCCAGAACATAGTATTATTCTCCCTGTTTTCTAGATAGAAAAAATTTAAAAGCCCCCAAATGCACAAGTAGCTCAAACAAGGTCATGTAATAGGTAAGACAGAAAATCTGCATTTGAACCCAGGTCTCATGATTCCAAGTTCCATATTCTACATAAGCATTGTTAGATATGATTTAACAATAATGTATAGGCTTTTTTTTTCATTTCTCCTTTAGCAACACAATGACTGTCAAAGAGCTCATAAGAGATTGGTCAGTGAAACCCTTAAGCTTCATTTGGTCCATCTGTAAGAATTTGGCTCAGTAAATTTTTGTCAAGTACATATTAGGGCGGTAATCACTTGAATTATTTCTTGAGCATTTATAAGTAATTGTCCAATGCCATAATCTCCAAAGCTTGTTATCTATTAAACCTAGGTGGAGGATAAGAGCTTACAATTAGCATCCGAGCAGAGTCTCTCCACCCACCAGGTCCAAAATTTTCTACCGGTTGCCCATTAATTCTAAGGACAGGACTGGTTACATAATGTTTAAGTCTTTGTGAATACGATGTGGAACCCCTTGTTTGAAAGTATCAAGAATTTTAAGGCAGCAACAGCAGAGCCTTAAACCAAGCCTGGGGGTCTTTCTGAGCCGGGCCCAGAAACCACTTCCATGTAAAGAGATAGGTGTTTTACCTTAGGACACTCAAATTGCATCCCAAAGAAGTAGAGCCTGATGAAGTTCATTGGTTCAGCAGCATCAGTGAAAAAACTAGAAGGGAGTGTAGACAGTAGCTTAGGAGGAAGTAGAAACCAGCCTGAAGTTTGGAAATCAGATTTATCTCTTAGGGATGGAAGAAGAAAGCAAGGACTCCGTCTTCTGTATACAGCCTTCAAGAGCCATACAGTAGTATGTCTACAAACCTTGCTGAACAGATTATTTTCTTTGGTTAATTTTCATCCCTTTACCTCTTCTTCTGTCCCTAGAGATATGGCATCTTCCCTGCATTGATCCCTAATAATAGTGTCTAAAATGTAATTTGAGGGATTTTTATGGGAATAAGCCTTGTGTCATATTTTTAATGGAATATCCTGTAGGTCTAGGAGGGCAAAGGCCATGCTTGTCTTATTCATTGTCCCATCCGATCCTCAGCACCAAGTACATGCCTACCACATAACAGGTGCTCAATAAATATTTGATGAATAATTGAAACCTTAGATAATTGAAAGAAAGTTGAGGGGAAGAAGTAAGAATGACCGAAAAATTATGCCAGTGAATAAAATGGTAGAAGAATTGTTTCTATTTATAAAACTGTGTAGAAGACCAAGTCAACAATGTCAGTTTTTTTAAATTGTAAATCTAATGACAGCGATGCTATCTCTACATCCACATAGCCTACTTATTTGCTTTTTTTTTGTTTTTGTTTTTATTTTACCACAAGGAACTGCTTTTGCAATAAGTAAAGTCAATGAAGAAAGTAAGAGGATTGCAAAGGTTTCCCCCGCTGATTCTGCCAACAGAAATGTTTTTATTGTGCTGCTTTGGGTGAGTAGGATGAGTTAGGCTCAAAACTAAAATCAGATGAATGAAAGTTTGTGTGCGTGTGCATGTGTTTATTCACACACATGCATATGCACACACACACACACAGTGGCCCTCATTAGTAAATTATTTGAAAAACAAATGAAGCAGAGGTAAAATTTGGAAGATGAAATAGATAATATGCCCTTTGTGCTACAGAACGTACCATGGTATATCAGAAAAGCAAACAGGCAAGTCCAGAAAAACTTGGAGACCTCAGGAAGCCACCAGCATACACAGAGGACTGAAGTTGCATTTTTTCTTCTCTTCCCCAAACGTTCAGTCCAATAGCAACTAATCCTAGGGAACTAAAAATATACGAAGTGTACAGTAACTCCCTTCTTTGGCTCTTTCTATAATGTATACAAATCTGACTGATAAAAGGCCCAATTCACTCAGCAGAGAGCTGGCTTCTGTCTGATGGAATTTCACTGTGGAGTTTTCACAGTGAGAGCAGTTGGAGCCTTTGTACCTCCCATCCTTCTCTGTGGGAGACACAGCCTCATGGATCTGAGCGATAGCAATGAGCAGTCTGGGACAAGTCAGTCACTGTGTCTGCAGGCATCTGACAAGAGGAGAATATGATTGCAGCAACATGTTGGGGAAGTCTGGCTTTCTCCCTCAAAGCCCTCTTTATTCTAAGGTTACCTGGCATTGCATAAGAGCCAAGCGGGCAAATTAAATTCCTTCTATTCAGCCTTGCAGAGAGGTGAAAAAACTCATCTCCTGGCTGGCAGTATTTGTTGTTGGCTCTGCCCTTTCCAGTGGCAGGCAGTTGGGCATCCAATAGCCAGATCGGTCAAGAGTACTGTTTTTTTTATATTTATTTATATCTGGACTTTATTTAATTCCTTCAAGATTTTCTGAATTAATTTTAGGCCCTGTGTTTGTGTAATTAGACTAATTTCCACAGCTATGATTCCATTTATGACCTTGTATTTCTCTGTCTCCAAAAGAACTTGTATCTAGGATGACCATAGCATCAGGTATTTCTTCAATTTTTGTACACTTCATTTTTTCAGTTTCTGCATTCAGAATTATTCAAATAATTGTCTTGTTACTTTTGAAACCTTTGGCCTAGTAATCGCTTGGGGTCTGGGGTAGGTTGGGGAGTACATTCTGTGCCAGTTACGGTGGTTGCTATCATTGTCTTGTGTTTTGATTTGTTCTTACAATGGCTAGGTTGAGATTAAAATATCTCAAAGTGAAATTATGTTCACAAAAGGAGGAAAGATCTTCAAAGTTAGTTCAAGTCATTGGTTGATCTGGCAAGCCTATGTTGAACCAGTTGTACAAATTTGCAGATTCTGCTAATAGCTATAATTTCTTAGGTGAAAGAGCCACAGGTTAGCTAACATCCCTAAGTAAATTCAAATTTTTACCCAAAGAAATCAGAGGCTTGGGTTAAGAGAGGACTTCCAGGGCAAGTGCTATGATCTTTAAGAAATCACAGAGCATGGGAGAATAGACTAGAAGCAGGCAGTCAGGCAAATGTAACTCTTCTGAGAGACAGAGAAGAAAGAATGAAAAAGGGGGCGGAAGAATGGAAGGATGGAAGGAAAGAAGGAAGAAGGGGGAGGCAAAGAAGAAAAGAAGGAAGGAAGGAAGGAAAAAGAAAGGAAGAAAGAGAAAGGGAAGAGAAAGAAGAAAAGAGAGGAAGGAAGGAAGAAAGGGAGGAAGGAAGGAAGGGAGGGAAGAAAGCAAGGAGGGAGGGAGGAAGGAAGGAAAGAAGGAAGGAAGAGAGGAAGGAGAGGGAAGGAAGGAAGAAAAAGAAAAGGAGAGGAGGGAAGAGAAAGAAGGAAAGAGAAGGAGAAGGAAGAAAGGAGGGAAAGGAGGAAGAAAATAATACAAAGAACAAAACTATTAATTTGACATTAGCTCAAGAGAAAATTCTAGATTGGATTAATAAAATGATGTTTTGTAAGCATTTAAAACATTCAGATGGGAAGAGTGTATCTTGGCTTCAGCAAGACATATGACATTGCGTTTTTTATATGCTTATTATCATACAATTATGTACAGTAGTAGATAATGAAACAGAACAAACTCATTGAGTGCTGTGTATTCATGGTAGGATGCCACAGTCTGTCTCCTTGACCTTGTCCTGTTACACATCTTAGTAATCAATTAATTGGGCTGGGTGCGGTGGCTCAGGCCTGTAATCACAGCACTTTGGGAGGCCAAGGCGGGTGGGTCACCAGGTCAGGAGTTTAAGACCAGCCTGGCCAAGATGGTGAAACCCCGTATCTACTAGAAATAAAAAATTAGCCAGGTATGCTGATGGGTGCCTGTAATCCCAGCTCCTCAGGAGGCTGAGGCAGGAGAATCACTTGAACCCAGGATGCGGAGATTGCAGTGAGCCAAGATCATGCCACTACACTCCAGCCTGGGTGAAAGAACAAGACTCCATCTCAATAATAATAATAATCTTCAATTAATTGAATAGGAATAGCAAGGTGGTTAAGAAGACGAATTCTGGAGCAAGAGTGTCTGCACTGAAACCTGACTCTGCTACTTATTATCTTTGTGACCTTAGGCAATCTACTTTACCTTGTTGTATCTCAATTCCTTCATCCTCAAAATGAGAATAGTCATAATATTCATCTCATAATTTTATTCTGAATATTGAATTTAAAATGCTTAGAATAAGGACTGGCATATAAGAAGCACTAAGGGTTAGCTAATATCAACATCAATAATAATAATACAGAGATGATATGCTTATTAAATTTAATAAAGAGCAGAGGTTGGGAGAAACAATGACATTGTGAGATATAAACTCACACTAACAAGATGATATTTAAGACAGAGAGATGTGAAGTTCCATCCCCAAAAGTTAACTGGATTATAGTTGACTTCCATCTCAAAGTGAGCCATTTATTCTTTGGTCTTTAAACACCAACCAGGTACTAGCCACAGTGTAAAGTGCTGTTAAAGAGAAGAGTGAGAGCAAGAGGGAGATTCAGTTTGAGGCTGCATCAATGGGATTCACGGGAATATATGCTCCCAACCAAGTAATCTGCTGCCCTGGTCAACTACATGTTGAGAACTGGATTCAATTCTAGCTAACACATTGTAAGACACTGGCAAACTGCCAAGTGTCCAAAGGATATCAGTCAACGTGGTGAGGGATTCCTAACCATGACTTGTAAGAAAAAATCAGGGATGTGTGAACTGGAAAGAGTAAGAGTAAGAAGACTAACGATAAGTTTATTGGACTGGTCTAAGTGTATGGCTATTGTCCCAGTATAATTGCAATTTGCATTGTATTTCACTCTCAAAAGTGCCCTAGTTTGACAATAAAAATATGATCTCTCTAATGATGGCTTCCAAACATTTGGAGAGGATGTATTATACTTATTCCTCAGCCAAGTTTCATATTTGCATGTGATGACAATGTAACTGGAAGTATCATAAGCAAACAAGAAGGGCTTATTGGCTCACATAACCAAATGGTGGGAAAGTCAGAAAAAGGGCTAGCCATAGTGAAAACTAGGACCAGGGTGTTTCTCTCTCTCTCTCTCTCTCTCTCTCTCTCTCTCTCTCTTTTCTCTCTCACTTACTTTTACAACAAACTTGATATTATCTTACTGCGTTATGTTCCCCCAGACTGTCATTCATCAAGCAACCAGAGAGAAAAGAAGGCTCTTTACTGTCAGCTAAGCCTGAAAAATACTTGGAAAGTACTTTGCTTCCCTGGGCTTGGGTCATGGACAAGGTGAGGGGTAGGATTGGGAGGCATGCTGGGTGGACTAAAAGAACAACTACTGTAAGCTGCTATCAGCCAAGGAAAGGCACAGAAATACAGAGTTCCACCCTCACGCAACCACAGGGGCAGCCCTATGAAGATGAGTTTCTGACAGTTAAAGGCATTTAGTTAGCCACTGGGTGACATGTACAGAAGGATTCATGTTTTGAATTGGAAGTTTTTTTAATTTTTAGGCAATACCAAGATGCTTTACTTCCACAAACTTCTCTTACATTTTTTGCATAATTAATTACAAAGAATTGGAGTTCCAAGTGTAAAAAAATGAAATAATCACCACTTTAAGAACTGCGCTGCATCCCAAGGGACCCAAGGATTGCTACAAAAGTATTCAAATTGGCCCAATTAAGCTACATAATGAATTTAGACAGTACTCTCGAAGGCCATTTTGTGTTCTGTTTTTCTGTGATTCCAGAAAACCAATCATGGCAAAGGTGGGGGCATTTGCTTCTGTGGTGCTGAGCATAACTCGAACTATTTGAAAATCACATTAAGTCTCTGAACAAGAGAACCTTCTGGACCAACAATGATGGGAGCTGTCATCAAGGAATAAAAATGTTAATTGAAGATTTGATGAGCTCTCCCCTCATAATTTGATTAGTCTGTTCTTAAAAATTGCAAAGCAGGGAGATGCTACAAGAATCTTCAGTATTGTGGGCTCTAAGGCTGTCCTAAAAAAATACCACAGGCTGTGTGGCTTAAACATCAGTAATTGATTTCCTCACAGTTCCAGAAGCTGAAAATCTTAGATCAAAGTGTCAGTCAGGCTGGTTTCTTCTGAGGCCCTTCCCTTTGGCATGTAGATGGCCGTCTTCTCTCTGTATCCTCACATGGTCTTCTCTCTGTGCTTTTGTCCTCCTCTCCTTTTTTTTTTTTTTTTTTTTTTTTTTTAGACGGAGTTTCGCTCTTGTTGCCCAGGCTAGAGTGCAATGGCACAGTGGCACAATCTCAGCTCACCACAACCTCTGCCTCTCAGGTTCAAGCGATTCTTTTGCCTCAGCCTCCCAAGTAGCTGGGACTACGGGCATGAGCCACCATGCCTGGCTAATTTTGTATTTTTAGTAGAGACAGGGTTTCTCCATGTTGGTCAGGGTGGTCTCGAACTCCCGACCCCAGGTGATCCACCCACCTTGGCCTCCCAAAGTGCTGGGATTACAGGCATGAGTCATCGCACCTGGCCTCATCTCCTCTTCTTAAAGGGACACCAGTCAGATTAAATTAGGGTGCACCCTCAAGACCTCATTTTAACATAATCACCCAATTAAAGACCCATTCACCAAATACAGTCACATTCTGAGGCACTGGGGGTTAGGACTTCAACATGTCAACACTGGGGGGACATAATTCAGCCCAGAGCATATGCTTACCACTTTGTCAGAATTTCTTCCTTAGAGATCATTTCTATGTCTTCTAATTTGCTTTGAGTCCATTTTGTTTCTCCTCCCACCTTCAGTAGAGATGGAGAATTGATTACTATTCCCCAAACAATAACTTTTCAGCAGTTGGTAGGAGATGATTCCCTTCCTTAGCAATCTCTTCTATTCCTTTTGCCTTTGTGTTTTTGAGATGGAGTTTCGCTCTTGTTGCCCAGGCTGGAGTGGAGTGGCACCATCTCGGCTCACTGCAACCTCCACCTCCCGGGTTCAAGCAATTCTCCTGCCTCAGGCTCCCGAGTAGCTGGGATTACAGGCGCGCACAACCACGCCCGGCTAATTTTTGCATTTTTTAGTAGAGATGGGTTTCACCATGTTGGCCAAGCTAGTCCTCAACTCCTGAACTCAGGTGATTCGCCCACCTTGGCCTCTCAAAGTGCTGGGGTTACAGATGTGAGCCACCACACCTAGCTTCCTTTTGCCATTTTTTTTAAAAAAAAATGTGTCTTACTTTCCAGTGCAAATAATTATTTTATGGTTCTCAAGTGTTGCATTTCTGTTGCATGTGCGCAAGATCAGACTTGTTTCTAAGCTACGTTACAGCCTCCATGTTCATCTCACGGTTCAGTGTGACTCTTATGTCTATATCATTGTTCTTTGTTTTATTGATTTTGAACTCTTCTGCCTAAAGGACCTCACCACAGTTTGAATGACATGTTGTTCTTAAGCTTCTTCTGCAATCTGTCATGGTAATTTTGAATTTTATCTCAGTGGAATTAGGAGATATCCTTTTATCTATAAAACGTGAACCACTCAGTGAGGTTGCTGCTATCGCCCAACTCAACACAAATGTACATTGAGACGCAGGAAGGTTAAGTAAATTGCTAAGGTCTCACACACAGAAGATGACAAACCTTGGGTTTCTAACATAGTGTGTCTGAGCTTAAGTTGCAGACATCATAACCTTTCTACTCCATCTTTTGGTATCAGTACCTCCTCTGTACCATTTCATCTTTCAACCACTTCCCGAGGCTCTCAGAATTATAACCTGAAGTCATCTTTCTTCTCTCTTGCTTGCCATATCTGATCAGTCATCAAGTCCTATTGATTTTCTCTTAACACTTTTATTTTGCATCCTGTTTCATTTACTGCCAACATCAAGTTCAGGTCCTTTCCATTTTACCTGTTGCCTAATTTAATAGCCTTCTAATTTGTCTCTTAGTTTGCCCCTCTCTTCACTAATTCACTCAGGCTTCTGAAAGAACTTCTCATCCTGAGGGTCCCCCTCTCCCATCAGTCCCTGCATTCCTGTTGCCTAATGAGGTATTAAAGACTGAACTGTGTCCTAACCCAAATTTCTATGTTGTAGCTTTAATCCCCAATGTGACTATATCTGGAGGTATGGCCTTTAATAAGGTAATTAACACTAAATGATGTCATTAGGATGAGGCCCTAATTTAATATGACCGGTGTCCTTATAAGAAGAAAGAGAAAGATTAGGAATATGCATGCATAGAGACTTACTGTGAGGATGCAGAGAGAAAGTGGCCATCTGCAAGCCAAGAAGAGAGGCCACAGGAGAAACCAAACCTGCTGACACCTTGACGTTGGACTTACAGACTCCAGAACAGAGAGAAATAAATTTCTATTGCTTATACCACCAGCTCTAGTCTTTTGTTATGGTAGTCAGAGCAGACTAATACAAGAAGGAAGTGTAAATTCCTCATCCAGAAAATACGACCCCTCAACAATTCAACCCCATTCATAAAAGTACTTCCCATTCCCATGAAACCCCTCAACACGTAGTTCTCTTTCTTCTCCAGGCTTTAGTTTATTTCTGGGAGGGCCTCCTCTCACCTTTTCACTTATGTAGGTTCCACTTTAGGAACGAGGTCCAGTCTCACTCCTGTTTCCTTACTAGGCTGGAAACCTTTTGTGGGGACTATGCCTTCAAATTAGTATCCCTTGAGGGACCTAGTGCAATGCCTGGCCCTGATGCCCAACAAGTGTCTATTGATTGAGTCATTCATTCACCTGCATTGTCTTGATTTCTCTGGTACTTGCCCTTTCATTGAAATCTTCTGGCTGTTTTGCAGCACTCAGAGCTTTAAAGTATTATAGCCTAAATGGTAACAATGGTGAGCATTGCCTTCTTAGAAAAAGTGGGGGCTGTCATCTAAAGAGAACTTATTTACACCAACTCCTAATATTCAGAAACTATGGAATAGTTATGAATAAATTTCTTCCCAATAATGAGCCTTTCTGCTATAATGTGTATACACAAATGCCCACATATGCATACATGTGCACACACACACACACACACACACACACACGTGCTGCCTCTTGCAACACAATGACAGGAGACAATCAGCCACAATTCCCTTAAATGACAATTCTATGGTACCCTTGCCTCATTTTTTGCTCTGTTGGCACTTAAACATTTACTTTGTGGGAGAAAATTATTTTGGGAAAGAGGAGAGAAATCTTTTTTTTTTTCCTTTTCAATTTTAGGGTTAAAGCCGAGCATGATGGCTCACGCCTGTAATCCTTGCACTTTGGGAGGCTGAGGCAGGTGGATCACCTGACGTCAGGAGTTCAAGACCAGCCTGGCCAACATGGTGAAACCCTGTCTCTACTAAAAATGCAAAATTAGCTGGGCATGGTGGCACATGCCTATAATCCCAGCTACTCAGGAGGCTGAGGCAGGAGAATTGCTTGAACCCGGGAGGTGGAGGTTGCAGTGAGCCGAGATTGCGCCATTGCACTCCAGCCTGGGCAACAAGAGTGAAACTCCATCTCAAAAAAAAAAAAAAAAAAAAAAGGGTTAAATGGGTAGAACACTCTTGTAACTTGTCTGTCCAGGTTCTTTGATGTTAAAGATTGGGAATGAAGTCCCACTTCCTCCCTTCTTTTTCCAGCTAAAACCCTGAAGGCATGCTCTTAGGTGGCTCTGAGGTATGTGTAGTTAAGGAAGTTGTTTAGAATCCTGTTAAGTCTTTCCTCAAAGGCAGTGAATAAAATGCACTTTCCACTTCTCAGCTATAACAAAGAAACCCACCATTAACATAGGAAAGCCTCTTGTTTGCATTTTTTAACAGCTGACATTTGTACCTTTTGGAGAAAAGTGAAGGGCATCTCATTGCTTCCTTGTTTAAATCAGCCTGGAAATAATGGGGATGATAGGGAAGCAGGGCTAATTTCCTTTGTCTCCTATTCAACAGATAATGGTGGTCTGTGTGGGGTGTTAAAGGCCAGGCAACCGCGGTGACCCGGAGATGACTTCATTCTTCCAAGGTTTATCAAAGGCTCCTGTCAGTCAAACTCATGCTGGGAGACTGGGGAATGGCCATCTGGCTTGCTGTTCTTCAGGGAGGAGAGAGGAGAGTGAGGAGATGCAAAATCTCACTGTCAGCCCTGAGCCAGGTGGAAGGGTGATACATTTGGGGTGGATTTAGCCCCTCTTGTGCACACACGCATAAGACAAATAAACGTGAGGCTCTCTATGAGAGACAGAGACAGAGACAGAGATACTAGGAAGAGGAGGAGAAACGGGAAGGGTGAGATGGAGACTTTTGTTTAAGGCAGCGTGATCATCTTGAATCGATTTTAAGTGGGAAGACTGAAGGTCACTCATGCTGCTAACCATGCAGAGAAACCTCTGAATTGTTTCCCTGGCTGTGGTAAAGAAGGAGAGTAAGTGGCTCCCAGCAGGGAACTGATTTAATTTAAAGCACAATGTTTCTGTTCTGAAGCCAGAATTCTTTCATCCTAGCCATGTTGATTACAAGTACTAACAAGGTATTACAAGAGACACTACCAGGAAATCTTCCCCTCTCCCTTCACTCCTAGTCAACTGCTGGTGAACTGGGGACACACAGCAGGGTCTCCCCACAAGGCAGCTCAAAAAGCCATCCTTTCTGGGAAGCTGCCTCCTCAAGCCGCCCTGGTTTGGGTTCCCTTTTAATATGAGAGTTCCTACCAGTAGCTGCAATTTACACAGCCCTAGGAAACAACTGTTTTGTTTTTTCTTAGATTTGCCTTTCTTTTTCATTTTAAAAATTGATACATAACATTTGTACATATATATGGGTTGCATGTGATATTTTGTTACATGAATTCAGTGTGTAATGATCAAGTCAGAGTATTTGGGGTATCCATTACCTTGAGTATTTATCATTTCTATGTGGTGGGAATATTTCAAATCCTCTCTTCTAGCTACCTGAAAACATACAATAAATTGTCAGCTAGGGTCATCCTACTCTGCTGTCAAACATTATACTTATTCTTCCTGTCTAACAGTACATTTATGCCCATTAACCAACCTCTCTTCATCACACCTCCTACCCCCTCACACACACCCTTCCAGAGCTACCCCCATGAGATCAACTTTTTCTGGAGACAGAGTCTTGCTCTGTCGCCCAGGCTGAGGTGGCACGATCTCGGCTCACTGCAAGCTCCTCCTCCCGGGTTCACGTCATTCTCCTGCCTCAGCCTCCCAAGTAGCTGGGACTACAGTCGCCCACCACCATGCCTGGCTAATTTTTTGTATTTTTAGTAGAGACGGGGTTTCACTGTGTTAGCCCGGATGGTCTCGATCTCTTGACCTCATGATCCGCCCGCCTTGGCCTCCCAAAATGCTGGGATTACAGGCGTGAGCCACTGCGCCTGGCCGAGATCAACTTTTTAAGCTTCTACATATGAGTGAGAACATGTGATATTTGCCTTTCTGTGCCTGACTTATTTCGCTTGACATAAGACATTTTTGCCCCCTGGACATTGCAAGTATTGAACTCAAGGATGCCTCAACACTTCAAAGATCTTTAAGGACAGAGCCTTTTTTTTCCTTTCTTTCTTCCTTTTTATTTTGATAAAATATGTATCACATAAAATGTGCCATGTTACCCATTTTTAGGTATACAGTTTAGACCCTATTAAGTACATTCACAATTTGGGTAGACATCACCACCATCCATTTCCAGAACATTTTTCATCATCCTAAGCTGAAACTCTGTTTCACCAAACAATACCCACCCAGCCCCCAGCCCCCACCCTAGCCCCTGGCAACTACCCTTCTACTCTTTGCTTCTGTGAATTGGACTCCTCTAGTACCTCATTTAGGAGGGATCATTTAGTAATTATCTTTCTGTAACTGGTTTATTTTACTGTGCATAATGTCCTCAAGGTTCATCTACATTGTAGCATGTGGTGGAATAGCATGTGGTGGAATTTCCTTCCATTTTAAGACTGGACAATATTCCATTGTATGTACGTACCACATGTTTTTGATCCAGTCGTCCATCAATGGGCATCTGGGTTGCTTCCACAGAGGTTTTCTTTTCAACTGTGCTGTTCTATCTTTTTCTTCCAGGTCCTAACATCAAACGAGGCCAATGCACTGGAAATACTGGTTTCTTGTAGATATTAATGAAGGGAGAAAAAGGGAATCACTGGGCCAGTAATTTAGTTGTCATTAACACAAGTTTCTCATCTCATTCCATAGTCCACTGCCCTGTTAGGAAAACAGGGCAATAATTATGGTTGGTTTTCTGGCTAAAGTGGAGAGAGGCTTTCATTCAAAAAGAGCATGGAAGAAAACTAAGAGATAGGGTGAGAGGGATTATTCTCACTCTATTAAAAAAAAAAAAAAAAGAAAAGAAAAACACTACCTTTGTATTAGTCCATTCTCACATTGCTGTAAAGAACTACCTGAGACAGGGCAATTTATAAAGAAAAGAGGTTTAATTGACTCACAGTTCTGCAGGCTGTACAGGAAGCATGGCTGGAAGGCCTTGGGAAACTTACAATCATGGTGGAGGGACAAAGGGGAAGCAAGCATGTTTTCACATGGCGGCAGGAGAGAGAGAGAGTGAAAGAGGAAGTGCCACACACTTGTAAGCCATCTGATCTGGTGAGAACTCACTCACTAACATGAGAACAGCAAGGGTAAAATCTGCCCCATGATCCAGTCACCTCCCACCAGGTCCCTCCCCTGACTATGGGAATTACAACTGTAAGTGAGATTTGGGTAGGGACTCAGAGGCAAACCATATCATCCTTATTGTAGAAACTTCTAAAATATGCAACAATAGAAAGACTAGTTTGATGAACATCCCATAAACCCCCAGCCAGCATGATCAGTCATCAACACATGATCAATATTTTGTCATTTGTACCTTACATATACCTCTGCTCCCCTGGGTTATTTTTAATTTCCTCTAGTTTTTTATTTTGAACAGTTTAAACCTATGAAGAGATTGTCCCATAAAAGTATGAAGAACAAACATATCTAATTCCTTCACCTAGAATCATCAAGTCTTAACATTTTGCCACATTTGTTTTATGTCCATCACCTATCTGTCTATTATCTATTTATCATCTATTTTTACATTTATCATCTATTTTTACATTATTTTTTTCTTGAACCATTTGAAAGTTGGTTGTCTCCATTATGACCCTTCATATATTAATACTTCAGCATCTAAGAACAAAGACATTCTCATAACCACAATACAATGATCATACCAGGACATTCAAAATTGATACAACATCATTATCTAGTAAACAATCGGTCAGGCACGGTGGTTCATGCCTGTAATCCCAACACTTTGGGAGGCCAAGGTGGGCAGATCACCTGAGGTCAGGAGTTCGAGACCAGCCTGACCAACATGGCGAAACCCCCTATTTACTAAAAATACAAAAATTAGCCAGGCCTGGCGGTGGGCACCTGTAATCCAAGCTACTTGGGAGGCTGAGGCAGGAGAATCATTTGAACCTGGGAGGTGGAGGTTGCAGTGAGCCAAGATGGTGCCTTGCACTCTAGCCTGGGCGACAAGAGCGAAACTCCGTCAAAAAACAAAAAACAAAAATGAACAAACAAACAAAAAAACCAACATTAAATTTTCCCCAGTTGTCCCAATATAGACCATTAGGGCTTTTTTCTTCTCTTTGTCATTAGCAGACCCTATCAGGGATTAAGCGTAGCATTTAGTTGTCATTTCTCTTTAGTCTCCCTTAGACTCCCAGGCCTGTTTTGTCTTTGACGCCATCAGCAGTATTGGGATGGAGATCTGGGAAGTATCTAATTTAATTTTTCAGATGGTAAGGAAAAAGATTGTGATTCTTTCTGAATCTGATGTTAGCATGAATGAATAAATGTTTATTAAATGACCATTCTATTAATGCTTATTAAATGTTTGCTAAATGAGCATTCTATTAAAATGCTCATTGCTGTTAGAGATGGAGAATTGCGGAGTTGAAATGCCTAAATTTTTCCAACTGTTTGACACCCACAATCTCCTGAGGTGTTTGGAAAGTGCAAGAATAAGACATTAACTGGTTCAAATAAATTAGTCATACATTAGAGAAGCATTGCACTTCTGCCTTTTGTACTATTCCCAAAAGAAGGGCAGGGTTGCCTTCTCTCCCTGCCACTACATATAATTGGCTCATTCTAATGTGAGTCTAAGTATATTTATTAATATCCACTAGTTAAACCTTGCAAAATATCAAAAGTCAGAATATTTCTTATTTATATGTGAAGGAATTGAGCACGGGGACATCTAAAGTATAAGATACTGAGATGGTGAACCAGGCATGGTGGCTCATGCCTATAATCCCAGCACTTTGGGAGGCCAAGGCAGGCGGATCACCTGAGGTCAGGAGTTCAAGACCAGCCTGGCCAATGTGGTGAAACCCCATCTCTACCAAAAATCCAAAAATTAGCCAGCATGGTGGCAGGCACCTGTAATTCCAGCTACTTGGGAGGCTGAGGGAGGAGAATCACTTGAACCCGGGAGGCGGAAGTTGCAGTGAACTGAGATGGCGCTATTGCACTCCAGCCTGGCTGACGAGAGCAAAACTCTGTCTCAAAAAAAAAAAAAAAAAAAAAAAAAAAAGATACTCAGATGGTGAAAGTGTCCCTGATTTATTGAAGACCTCCCAGGGCCACACAATCTACTAAAGGGTACTTTAGTAGAGGGTATTTATCATTATGTTAATATCCTGAAACTCAAAACAATGAGAATGCAACATGGTTCCCAATTATTTATTCTGGATGGTTAAAGCTAGTGAGGTGTCTGAATGTAGTAGAATCCTGTTATCATATAAAAATATATTATTTTTGTATATAATATTATATTTATAATTTTAATAGACCTTATTTTTAGAGGAGTTTTAGGTTCCCAGCAAAATTGAGAGAAGAATGCAGAGATTTCCCCCATACCCCTGCCCCCACACATGCATAGCCTCCCCTGTTATCAACATCCTTATCAGAGAGGTACATTTGTTACAACTGAGGAACCTACATTGACACACCATGATTACCTGAAGTCCATAGTTTACATTAGGTATTACTCTTGATATTGGACATTCTCTGTATGAATGTATGCACCAATTTACAGTGACATGTATCTACCATGACAGTATCATGTGGAGGAGTTTCACTTCTCTAAAAATCCTGTGTTCTGCCGATTCAATATGTTATAATTTTTAAGAGTTAGAAATATTCTATTAAAACACTCACTTAGGCCTTCATAAAGTCCAAGTAAACTGTTTTTTGTTTGTTTGTTTGTTTGTTTGTTTTTTAGGCAGAGTCTTGCTCTGTCACCCAGGCTGGAGTGCAGTGGTGGGATCTTGGCTCACTGCAACCTCTGCCTCCCAGGTTCAAGCGATTCTCCTGCCTCAGCCTCCCAGGTAGGTGGAGTTACAGGCATGTGCCGCCATGCCCGGCTAAATTTTGTGTTTTTAGTAGAGATGGGATTTCACCATGTTGACCAGGCTGGTCTTGAACTCCTGACCTCAGATGATCCGCCCACCTGGGCCTCCCAAAGTGCTAGGATTACAGGCGTGAGCCACCGCACCCAGCCAAGTCCAAGTAAACTTTTTAAGAAACTATCGAGAATGAGAATGAATGGAAGGAAAAATGTACATATCAGTTGGAACACAGACTTACCTTCTCTAAGGTAATGGGCAATGCTATCTTGATCTTTCATCTTCACAGTTTAATTCATAAAATAATAAGATAATTAAGCCTGTAATACTTTTAAGAAAAAGTCTGACATTTTCAAATTTTTTCTGTCCCATTTGTATTGGTTAACTTTTGGGGAATCAAAAAGAAAAAATACGTTTTGTTCAAATTTGGTTTGCGTAGCTGATCAGAAAGGTCTTGCTGGGTCTTGTCAGATGAAATATTAAAAAAAGCAAAAAAATTCTATTATTTTAAAATTCCTTCTACCACATATGTGAAGTGTTACCCTAAAGGACTCCTATATGTGGTAGCCAGTGTTTAAGACAAGCACCTGTGGACCCTTGTCCCCATGTCACATGTACTCAGCGGCTTTAAGAGGAGACAAAACTTGGTCAGTCTGTGGAACACCGAGGTCACAGAAGCAACATCAAACAGTGCGGCTGAAGAAAACCCAGGTGGCCAGAGGCAAGCGCCAGAGGTCATCTTCCCATGAGCCATCAGGATGTCCTTGCTTACAGAAAGGCAGATGCAGGAACAAGTGAGTGGATGAGATCAACAGAGAGTATGAACTGAGTTATTTACAAAGATCATGTACTTGGACATATTTCTGGGTTTAAAACAATATTTATTTTAACAAGGTTTGCTTAACTAAGCCATGAATTTGTAAAAAAACAAAAACAAAAACAAAAAGAAAACAAAAAAATCCTTAGGGAAATTAAATTTAACAGAGTTTAATTGAGAAAAGAATGATTGATGAATTGGGCAGCCCGTGAACCAGATTCAGAGAGACTCTGGGGCTGCACCATGGTTAAAAAGATTTATGGACAGAAAAAGGAAAGTGAGGTACGGAAAACAGAAGTCAGATACAGAAACAACTAGGTTGCTTCCAGCTTGGCGTTTGCCTTATTTGAACAGGGTTTGAATAGTTGGCCACCTTTGCCCAAAACTTGGTGATTAGCACAAGACTAGATTACAGTCTGTTTAGACATCCAGGTAGATTACAGTTCACTATGTATGAAGAAACCTTTATGCCAAATTTGAAATATGTAAGGAGGCAGCTTTAGGCTAAACTTAATTTAGTTTTCTTTTATATGTGCTTCGACCTTACATTGTCAGTGTCTCTGTTCGTATGCCTCTTAGAAAGCTCATGGAAAAGAGAATACTTACCTTAATTCCATTTAATGTGCCCTGGAAAATCAAAATAGTTTTCCATACTGTTTTCTTTGACTTAACTACATTTTATAGGCTTCTGGGATTAATTTCAAAACACATGGAACAAAATGTCTTTATATTCATGTTGGTTTGATTAACATATTTCCTAGTCAAAAGTGGGTTAGGATGAGCTGAGTATTTGGAAAATATAGGAAATAGTGGGGAAGGTCAGTTGCCCCAAAGAGCTGGGAGTCCAGTCTCTATGTTGACCATTATTGGTTCTGGATTGTTTGGTCCCTGGCAATGCTACAGCTGAGTGAATCCCAAAGACACACCCCTAGCTCATTAGTCTATGTAAGCATGTGTCTTCCACTCCCCACCCATAGAAAACCCAAAGGCAAATTTATGTCTTCATAGCTTGTTTCTTTTCCACAATAAAAACGTATTCGTCCCAGGTCTCATTCTTTCTCATCTAGATATTACACTCAAAAACTGTAGCAGTAAATAATTATTGAATGCCTGATTTCCAACAAGGTTCTGATGGCCTAGCAACGGATTGGGAGCTTATACCTTTATGAAGTTTTAAGTGCAATAGGACTATAGGAGATAACACATCTCATTCTAAAGACATCAGTGTGGTTTAGCAATGGAAATGAAGAAGGAAAGTATTGTGTAAGGCAGTCTCTTAGACACTGAGGAACTCAAAACATACTAAGTAGCTGCGATAGGGGTCCCAGTTACATGCTTTTCTAGTGCCAGGTTGGATCTTGGAGACCAAGGCCAAGTTCAACAGAAGGACGGATGTGTGTTTAGCTGTGCAAGTTGGAGCCATGAAAGTGGAATGTGATGTGAGGGTCATTATCATACTCCTCCCAGGCAGCAGCCACCTTCCAGTTTGTTCCTGAGCATCCTCTCCTTAACATTACATTGAGTACCATGGCTCATTATCCCTAATGGTGGGGATGAGAGGATAATCAGCATAATTGACCCATTATGATCCTGAGCATCATGTCCCAAGGGGGATCTAGGGCTCAATACTCTATTATAACTGGGGTTTAGTTGTCATTCAGATAGATAGCATGGAGCTAGGCAGAGGCTGGGGGTCTAAACATGGCAGCAAATGATGGCAGGAACAGGCAGATAGGAAGGAAGGTGAGCTTAACCATAAGTCTAAAACATCAAGGCATAGCAAGAAGGCAGGTATCATTGTACAAGGTCCAATTCAAACCCAAGCTCTTAAAGTCAATAGTTAGGCCCTCAGGGAGTATCTGGGAGGGCAGATTCCCGAAAGAAGTGTCATAAATTCAGTAATTAGGAGACCGGATAAAAATCACCCTAAGACCTAGAGAAAAGGTAGGAACCCAATTTTAGACAGGCCTAACTACCTCTCCATTTAGGATGGGACCAGCAAGGTTGATTTAACATTGGTCAGCAACTGCCCTAGAACACCTCACCTTTTGCTCTCTTTGAGGCAAGATTGGTCTTAGAGTTTGGAAGAGTGTGTGTGTGTGTGTGTGTGTGTGTGTGTGTAGTTAAACAATCTCAGTTACTATGTTAGCAGGAAGGAGGATGGGTATGATAGGGATACAGGCATCTTTTACCAAACCCAAAGGAAATTGTGCCCTCTGTCCAGCTTCTGAGATAGAGTCTGGCTTTACAGTATCTCTGAAATCATACCTAATGCATGAGAAAGTAATTCAGTGTTATAGTCCTTCTCTAATAAGCGAGGCCTCTGACCCCAAGTCCCCTGAGTCCCTTTTCTGTAATGGAGGTTTAAGGGAACTTTTGGAGTCTAATAAAATGGCTTCATCCGATGAATCTGCCTTCTGTAATTCAGGGAAGAGGCTTTTCATTACCCGTCTTTTCTGTGAGCTGGTCCTGCCAGCCTCATGAGAGGCAGATCCTGTGAGGCGGAAAGGATCTAGGAATCAGCAGTTGCCTTGGTTTCCAAGAAATGTCTCCACCCTTCAGTTGGTTCTGAAAGTAACAGTCTGTTTCGCTTGAAAAGGGAATGCATGCTGAGTTCTCTTCTCAGCTTATAAATTATGCTGTATTAACACTGGCAACAGTTTCATTTTCACTGTGTAAACATGAGGCAGCACAGAATGGAAAGAGGGTTGGAAGGACTGGCTGCCAGGCCGCAGCAGAGACTCGTGAGCAGCTCTTTGAATGTTGGATGGTGTTCACACTAGCTTTAAGAGTGGGGGAGTTTCCCCCAACACCTGTCTCCAGCAGTCAGGCCTTTTTTATTAGGAATACCTCTGCCACTGGCGTTGGCTCTGTGCGTGAAGTACATGGTTAAATAAATGTTGTGATTCCAGTAACCCTGAGAAAGGTGCCTCTTCTCAGAACCAGTCCAAAGAAGGCTCACTGTGCCTGAGATTCTATTGTAGATTCATTTGCGAGGGTTATAATGTGATTTCAAGAGTTCTCTGATCAATCATAAATACTCTATAGATGGGTTCATATATTCATTTCCCTAACCTTTCTATTGACCAAGCAAACATAGATGTTCTATTGTGTACAAGGTGCACTGGTTCCTAATTAAGGTTTCCATTGCCATTATTGGTCATAAAGAATTCAGCATGAACAAATTTATTAATGATTCCCCCAAGCTGACTTGAGAACAACTCACGGTGGCTGCATTTTAAGTGAGAATTGGGGTGCAGGGAAGACCGCGTAGCAGAATATATATTTAGAGTGGACAGAACCAGTTAGGACCTAGACCAAAATCCTGAGCAGCCCAGGGACAGTCTGGGCAGTATCACAGTGTGGGCTAAAGAGAAGGGTTGGAAGTGTCACAAGGAAGGAAAGGGAAATAGAGGATGTAAACATGAAAACAACAACAACAACAACAACAACAACAGAAACCTTATTCAGCTGCGCAGATTTTTTTTTAAGCCCATTTGTACAGCCTTAACACTTACAGAGCAAGAAGGCCCTTTGAAACAAAAGAAGGACTTCTAAACATGAAACTTCACTATATTAAAATCCATTTTAAAGGTCAGAATACTTCTTTAGAATTAGAAAAGTGAAAAATATCAGTTAAAATGCCTATCTGAAATGTAAGGTTTTTTAGAAGTTCCCCTAGAGCAGTGTTTTTCATCTTTTTATAGGTGGGACATTGTATCAATTATGATAGTTCCTACTGCGGGTAACTGAAAATCCAACTCAAACAGGCTTAAACAAAAGGAAACA